>NC_000002.12:29048373-29201124 GCF_000001405.40 Homo sapiens
AATGTACCACCTTAACCATTTTTAGTTGTACAGTTCAGTGGTAGTGTCCATGATTTTTGCAGTCATCTTCCGAACTGTTACCTTGCAAAACAGAAACTACGTCCCCATTAGGCACTAGCTCCCCATTCCTCCCTTCCCCAGTCCCTGGCAACCACCAACTACTTTCTGTCTCTACGATTTTGGCTATTCTAGGTATGTCATATAAATGGAACTGTACAGTTTGTCTTTTTGTGTCTGGCTTAATTCACACAGCAGAATGTCCTCAAGATTTATCCATGTTGTAGCGGGTGTCAGAATTTCCTTCCTTTTTTTTTTTTTTTTTTCAGAGAGATTCTCGTTCTGTCACCCAGGCTGGAGTGCAGTGATGAGATCTCAGCTCACTGCAACCTCTGTCTCCTAGGGTCAAGCCATTCTCATGCTTCAGGCTCCCAAGTAACTGGGATTACAGGCGCCCACCACAACACCCAGCTAATTTTTTTTTTTTTTTTTTTTTTTAGACAGAGTCTTGCTTTGTTGCCCAGGCTGGGGTGTAGTGGCGCGATCTCAGCTCACTGCTACCCCTGCCTCCCTGGTCCCGGTTCAAGCAATTCTCCTTCCTCAGCCTCCCAAGTAGCTGGGATTACAGTCACGCACCACTATGCCCAGCTAATTTTTGTATTTTTTTTTTTTTTTTAGTAGAGATGGGGTTTCTCCATGTTGGCCAGGCTGGTCTTGAACTCCTGACCTCGTGATCCACCCGCCTTGGCCTCCCAAAGTGCTGGGATTACAGGCGTGAGCCACTGCGCCTGGCCCGATTTTTGTAGTTTTAGTAGAGACAGGGTTTTGCCATGTTGGCCAGGCTGGTCTTGAACTCTTGACCTCAAGTGATCCACCCACCTGGGACCCCCACAGTGCTGGGATTATAGTCATGAACCACAGCACCTGGCCAGAATTCCCTTCCTTTTGAAGGCTGAAAAACATTCCATTAAATGTATATACCACATTTTGTTTATCCATTCCTCAATGGACACTGGGCTGCTTCTGCCTTTTGGCGATTGTGAAAAAGGTTGGTATAAACACGGGCATAGAAATCTCTGTGTTCTCACCTATTTTTGCATTCCATAGGGATTCAGGATACTTTTGAGTTATCGTTATTCAGTGTAGGCGGCTACTCAGGGTCATTCGTTTTCTTTTGGTTCCCTCTCACTGTCCCCCTTCTAGTTTCCCCTCATCTCCCACCCTGGGGCTGACAGGGACTGCTTTCTTGTCACCTGTTCTCTTCCTACTCAGCCTGTTTCAAGCACAAGGAATAGAACTCTCAACTCTTTCCAACCAGTGTACCTCTTTGCTCCACTTTAGAAAGCTCCTCCAAGCCCTTTACCCCAGGATCCTTTCCTGGGGAATGCTGGGGTGACCCAAAAGGTGCAGTCCTGCCCTTCCAGTTATCAGGACCACCTTCACCTCTGAGGATCCTGTGACCCTCGGAGGTTCCCTGCAAGAGCCCCAAGGGTGCAGCCTCAAAGCCAACATTCCTTGATAAATGTCACCAAGAGAGTGTCAGGCTGACCAGAGGGTGGCCCAGGGCATCTTCCCTGGTTCCTCCTTATTCCAGGCTGGCTTTGAAATCAGAGGGACCCGTGGGGCTCTAAGGGGAAGGTATCCTAGGGGATTAGATGATGTGGTCCTGATGAAGGAAGGACAAATTGCAGTTTCATGAAAAATAAAACAAGGTGGCTCACCTATGATCCCAGCACTTTGGGAGGTCAAGATGGGCAGATTGCTTAAGACCAGGAGTTCAAGACCAGCCTGGGTAACATAATGAGACCCCCATCTCTACAAAAAAAATTTTTAAAAAAATAACTGAGCGTGGAGGCGCATGCCTGTGGTCCCAGCTACTGGGGAGGCTGAGGCAGGAGAATTACTTGAGCCTAGGAGGTCGAGACTGCAGTGAACCGTGATCGTGCCACTCTACTCCAGCCTGGGTGACAGAGCAAGACACTGTCTCAATAAATAAATAAAACAAAAAATAAAGCTCCAGATCACCTCTGAAATATGGAATCCCTAGAAATTTGGGGACAGCATGCGGTAGAAAGAGTGTGGACTTTGGAGTCCAGGCAGATTAGGCCTTTGTCCTCTGCTTTGCCCTTTGCCTTGATTTGAGTCTTGCTTTCCTCCTCTGGAAAACGGACAAGCATCCTGCCTCTCAGGGGTGCTGTGAGCATGAAATGGAGCTGTGATGTGAAGCTCTGAGCCCTGGGCTCAGGCAGTTTCCAGGATATGGAAACTGTTTTCCACAGAATTCCCGGCCCACAGAATCAATAAAGCGCTGCTGTTAGTGTTGTTTGCCTGCCCCAGCACTTATCCTTCGGCTGGATGACAGGCAGAGCATGTGAATCGCAAAGCCAGCTTCGATAGTGCTAATGCGCTTAGGATAATGCGGCCACAGCTGAAGGCCTGAGCAGCCCCTCTGGGGACCCAGGAGAGCCCTTGATGTGGTTTTAATGTGGCCACAGCCCTGGCATTTACTCAGGTGATGAAGAGCTGGTTGGCAGATTCAGCTGGCTTCTGGGTTTTCCGGGGTTTAGAGAGGGTTGGGGGCCTTGGGAAACCAGATATGGGGGCTTATCACTGGAATGGTCTGTGCAGAGCTTGCTGGTTCACAAGCACGTTCATGCCTCTGCTGCTGGTCTCGTCCTGAGGTTTGGCATCCGGGCACCGGGGAGGCTGTGCTAGGCTTCTCCCCTGCCAGCTGTCTTGTCTGCCAGCATGCTTCATGTGAGAGGGTCTTGATTTCCCTCCCCAGTAGTTTTTCTCTGTATTTGTGTGGACTTCCATAGGTGGTGATGTGGATAAATGCAGTATTACTATAGTTACTATTTGTCACCTGCCTGCCTACAGGTAGGCACTTTATGTATATTATCGAATTTCTAACAATCTGGAGAGGTTGGTTCAGCATTTTTATCCTTACTTTATGGGTTTGGAAAAGGCTCAGAAAGGTCGGGTGGCTTCCTCATGCTGACACAGTTGATGGGGGCAGGATTGTAACCAGGCGTGCCTGCCTCTTTCCTGTTCCCTGGGCTGGAGGAACCATTATGATTGTCAGAGATTCTGCATATTTCTGCCTTTGCGTGCCCCTTTCTCCATAAAAAATATTTAAAAATTATAGTTTCTGACTGGTTGGTATAAGCACAGATATAAACCAGGTTGGACATATTCATATATTTTCTACTAATGTTAAAAGAAGCTAACACATTTTCATAGGCTGCTAAATGTGTCATGATCCTTAGTTGCTGTGCCTGCTGGGCTGCCAGCCCTTTGGGGGACAAAGTTGGTGTCCCAAGAGAGGGAAGTGGGAGAGGGAGAGAGTGCCTGGCTCAAGTGACTCTCCTTTTCTGCCTGACAGTGCTGGTGGCCTCAGTTTACCCCCGGAAGCCTCAAGCTGTAGAGCGGCATGTCCTTCCCATCCTCTGGCACTTCCTGAACACCGCCACCAGGAATGGCACCCTGCCTGGACCCAGCGGGAACATCCGCGGGGTGGTGTGCCGGCTGTCCAGGAGCCTCCAGGAGCACATGGGCTCCCGCCTGCTGGACTTTGCCGCCAGCCAGCCAAAGCACGTCCTCAAGACGCTCCAGGAACTCTTAGACTCAGAGTCCTTGGGAGGCAGCCGCAAGGCCACTGACAGAGGGGTGGCCCCTGACAGCAAGACAACTGGCAGCTCATACCCTTTTCAGCTGGATTAAAGATGGATCTGAAATGGGCAATTATTATTTATCTTATTTTTTTGATGGACTATTCTCCTGGTTACTTTCCCCCTTAGAGTTCCAGATGTACATGGTATATTTTGAAGTAGAAATAAAAGAATTACTTATTTTTCTAAGGTTTTATTATCTTGTACTTTTTTAATCACAGAGAATTTTCCAGTAACTAGGTTTGTGATGAACGAAATGAAATGTGACAGCAGCAAAACCAGTTGCAGACAATGTTGAGACAAAGAGTTAGGAAGAAAAAGGGTAGCACAGCCCTGCAAGCTGCAGCCCGCTCGAGACGATAGTTGCCCATCTGTGAGCTGCTGGGCAAGCCCTCCTGAAACCCGCAGCCTGAGTTGGTCATCGAATCCAGTCCATTTGTTATGGGCCTGATTGGAGGTGAGTGTAACAAACGTGTTCAGGGACATCGTGCTTCTGCCCTGCAAAAGCTGCAGCACGTGTCTGTTGGTCCTGTGGGAACCTTCTGATCGGCCCAGCTTATCAAAAGACAAGGGGAATTTGAGATTTGCATCACTAAAAGCCTTCTCTAGAAGTTGGAGTTCTGGCTAGTTCTGAAGAGGACTAGACAATGCTTTGCCATTGAAACACCCTAAATGGAGATGCATGTGGAGCGTAAAGTGCTACCAGTGTGCAGATGCTGCCGAGTCTCTGAAACTGCACAGGCTGCAATTGTGGGCCACATCACAAGGCTGGAGGGGCGAGTGGGCACAGCACGGGCCAGGACTTGTGGAAGCAGGGAAGGTGTTGGCCCCTGGGGGAACAGCCAGTGAAATGAAGTCCCGGCAGTGGAGAGGGAAGTCTGGGGCTCAGGCTCTGGACACTTTAGGTAGGAGTGGCTCTGCCTTGGCTGGGGCCAGTGGCAGGTTAACAACTGTGTGACCAGAAAGAGTTAGAGCTAAGGCCATGACCTCAAATGCACAGGCAAGGCAGGCCTGGTAAGGCAAAGGCTGAAGAGGCAGCATCCCAGCTCTTGCAGGGGAGCCCAGCCTGCAGCCACGTGCTGGGGCAGATCCAGACGACCGAGGCCCTGAGGGCCCAGCCTCATGCCAGCAAGTTTTCTGGCAGACACCCCCCTCCCCTGCCCTTCCCCAGTGGAACCTCTTTCCACTGTCATCTGCCCCCCAGGCCTAACATCCATTCCACATCCCTGTTCTGAGCCTCTCCTGGGGAGTCTGGCTCTGGAAAGCCCCGAATCTACTCACTTATGTATTTCCATACCCCACCAGGCTGAGGAAGCCACTTTCCCATCTTGCCTCTGTGGCAGGTGTAGTTAGTCCGGCCCCTCCTTACGCCCTGGGGTGAGGTTGGGCCTGCGAGTCATCCCGGGCCTTGGGCTTGTCATAGGCGGCTTAAGAGTGACTTTGGGTAATTCTAGCCCAGTGAGCTGCTTCTCACCTGATTGTGACCCCAGCAGGGGCTTCCCTGCGACCATCTAGCTCTTTGTTGATTCTGATTGAACCAGGTTAAAGGCCTGCTAGACAGGCAGCCATCCAAAAATGCCCAAGAGGCTGACAGTAAATGTTTTAAGTGTTGAACAATTTAATGAATTGCATTTGCCTGTCATCTGAGCAAATGTTTTTGGTTTGGTGAGGAGACTTGCATTTTCTGCTTTTATCCTAGAATGTATCAGAACATTTCAGGGTTTTTTAGATCCCTAGGAGGCCAGGGACGTAGAGTCTGGCAAGGATTTTGACGGCAGAAATGAAGCTTAGCAGTACTGTCCTGTCTTCCTGCCTTCCATGTGTGTTCTCACACAGGAAGCTTCCCATCCCATGGGCCTCCACCCACTCTCAGGGGCGGAGGCATTGAAAACAGCTGAAAACAGTGGAAAAGTGCAGAATACATCTTTGCACTGTTCTCTTTTCCCTCATTATTTCAGGTTTTATTAACCACACCTGTGGTGTGACGCTGCTGGGAGGCACTGGGTGGCTCTGGTGTACCTTGAGAAATTTCCATCTCCAAAGACTTCCTTACCTCATTACTTTTAAAATGAAGGGAAGACAGCATGTTGGTAACCTGGCCCTGGGCCTGTTGGGAATACCTGTGGGAATCTAATGGGACGGCCTGTCATGGGACATGAAGATTTTCCTAAGAGCTGGGGCTGGAGCTAAGCCCACACATACTTTGCTTGGTTCTGTGTGTGGCCAGGAACTCCACTTACATGAGATGCTCTTGGGGGTGGGAATACAGCCTCTAATGATGGAAGATTCTCTTTCTCTCAATCTCTCTCTCCATGTAACAAAAATGCAGGTGCAGTCACTCACTGCTTGCAGACTCCAGTGAACAAAAGGGAGGCCTGGTATAAAGAAACTGACTTTTTATTCCAAAGCTAGTTTAGGGGAAGAAGCTGCCTTGAAGGGTACTGTGTCGTTTTTGGAGCAGAAAGTGGGCACTTTTAAAGGGGCGGGGGGGGGGGTGCTGGCACGAATGGCATGCAGGAGAGGAAGCGGGCAGGTGGGGGAGTCCACATACTTGCTTTGATGACTTATGTAACGGGTGGTCAAGTTGGCATCTTCGTGGGCAGAACTAGGTTGTAAAGTGGCTGAAGCTCTCCGGGTGGGAGGGAGTTTCATAGTGGGCATATTTTGGGTTATTAATTGACTGTTGTGTCTCCAGGCAGTTTCCTGGTGGGTGCAAGTTCTGCTCTAGAGCTTCTAAGCACACAGTTAGATGAGCCTGCCCTGGAGGGAGTGTCTGGTAAAGGGGAGGTAAAAGGTTATAGTTGCATTTCTTTTATATATATGTTTATTTGTTTATTTATTTATTATACTTTAAGTTCTAGGGTACATGTGCACAACGTGCAGGTTTGTTACATATGTATACATGTGCCATGTTGGTGTGCTGCACCCTTAACTCGTCATTTACATTAGGTATATCTCCTAATGCTATCCCTCCCCCCTCCCCCACCCCACAACAGGCCCCGGTGTGTGATGTTCCCCTTCCTGCGTCCAAGTGTTCTCATTGCTCAATTCCCACCTATGAGTGAGAACATGCGGTGTTTGGTTTTTTGTCCTTGCGATAGTTTGCTGAGAATGATGGTTTCCCGCTTCATCCATGTCCCTACAAAGGACATGAACTCATCATTTTGTATGGCTGCATAATATTCCATGGTGTATATGTGCCACATTTTCTTAATCCAGTCTATCATTGTTGGACATTTGGGTTGGTTCCAAGTCTTTGCTATTGTGAGTAGTGCCGTATAGTTGCATTTCTAAAGGGCTAAGTAGGAAGTGGGGAACAAGGGGAAATGGGGAAAAGAGAAGAGAAATAATTTTAAAAACTCGTTTTCTTAGAAAAATGAGTGTACTCAGTTCAGAGTGAGACTCATAGACAGAAGACTTGTCTGAGAGCTGTAACTGCCAGGATTCCCTTTTACATCAAGGAGAATTTTTTTGAGATTTTAGGAAACTTTTCCTATAGGTCCCATTGTGGCAGGCCAGGTATCACTAATGCAGGCATCCATAACAACTGTTTCAATACTGACTGAGTGGTTAAGTTAAACATTAAAAGCTGAGAGAGCTGGTGGCCTTATACAAAGGCTGGAATGTAACAAAAGCCCACCAAGAGTTTGCCTAGGCCTTTGCTGGGCCTTGAAGCATGATGAGATAATGAAGGAATTCTTAGTGGGACCTGTTTAGGATTAAACAAGCTTTACTGGGTGTCTGAAGAAACTCCCCAGGCCTCCAAAAACAAGTTTATTGGAGGTCTGAAGGAACTCCCCAAACCTTCAGGATTTAGCAGGAGACAAGATAAGGGTAATCACCCCAGCACCTGGACCCATTTAGATTAAGTAAATCTATTGAGGCTCCAGAGGAAGGTCTTCAGGACTTAGATGTTAGCTACAGATTAAAAGAAATTAATCGCTTATGTCTTTAGATGAGTGCACACTTACACATAGACATGTAGCTTAGAAGATATGCAAGCTCTGGAAAACTTTGTAATTTGAGTTGGTCTGGCGATATTTTCCAGGCCTTCTCCCTGTAACCGGTTATGGAAATAAAAAACTCTCTTCCTCCCCAGTTCATCTGCATCTTGTTACTGGGCCACGAGAAATAGCAGCCCAACCCTCAGTTTGGTCCAGGAACAAAATCTCTCATCTTGTTTTCTCCTCCCTTTATTATCTCCTACCTGCTGAGATAATAAACGTTTCTACCCTCTCACTGTGCTTCGGAATCATCTGGCAAGACTTAAAAAATACTGAGGTCTACCCCCACCCCACAGGGATTTTGATTCACTTGGTCTGAGGTGAAGCCTAGGCAGCTGTATTTTTTTTTCTTTTAACTCCAGGTGATTCTAATGGCTGGGTGAATTCAAAAACCACAATAAAATATCAGATAAAAAAGGAAACTGGCCATGGCTTAGGCCCTGTGGGCTCCTGGCCTGCCAGCTCCCCTTACCTCACAGCCCTAGAGTATTCTGGGGTTGACGGTAGAAACTGAGTCCAGGCTCTGGAGTCAGGCCTGTGGCCTGCTGGCGTGTGGCTTGGGACCCATCTATCAACCTCTCTGATCTTTCCATATCAATCTAGTGTGTGGATGACATCAATGCCCACCTACACCTGGCTGTGGTGACGATGACTGAGAACATTCTCATAAAGCATTTAGCATAAGGCCACGAAAACAGGGAGCTGTTCTGCTTGGGGCCTGCCATTTCTCCAGCTGTCTTACCCTTTCTCCAGACGCCCTCAGAACCATCCCTCCCCCCAGAGAAGAAAACCCAGAAGCTCTTCTCTCCTTGTGGCTGTTCCTTCCCCTCCACTCTTCTGACTCTTGAGACTGGAGAGGGGATGATTTGCAGGGGAGCAGAGTGCTTTCTTGCCTAAAGCATTTTCCTCTTATTATAACTTGGTTCTGCCATTAGGAAAAGAAAGGGGGAAATGACCATAAGTCTCCTGCTCTCCTTGTGATGGAGGGAGGAAGATGGGGGCCCAGAAAGGGAAGCCGAGAGGAAGAGCCAACCTCCTCATTAAATTCTGCAGTGTTCCAGGTCTGCCATTCTTCTTGACATCTTATAAGGAAGATATTATTTCTTCCATTTCCTGATGAGGAAACTGGGCCTCAGCGATGCTTAATGAATAACCGCAGCCAGTGCACAGGAATCACCTGGGAATCTTGGTAAAGTTCAGATTCTGCTTCAGCAGGTCTGGGTGGGGCCTGAGAGTCTGTAGTGTTCAATTCCCAGGTGAGGTCAATCCTGTGAGTCTGGCAGGGACCACACTTTGAGGCGTCAGGTCCTAAGACAGCAAGAAAGTGGCTGAAACTTGGGTGTGTGTCCAGGCCTGTTTGACTCCAAAGCCCCTGACTTTCTGTTCCAGGATGTTTTATGGCTCCAAGACATTTACCTCCCCTTGGGTCAGTTTGAGCCCTTTGAAATAAGCCACGGAAACCCCATGGATTTCTGGAGTTAGTCTGGTCCCAGAGTTTTGCTCCCAAAAGCTTCAGGGCAGAGAGGGTCTGCTTGGTCAGCTCTGATCATTAGGACATGCTGTGAACACTTGGCCTCTGGTGGGGACGGGATTTGTGGACACAAATGAAGGCTACATGAGCAAAGTGTAGCCTATTCAGAGCTTGCTATAGCAAGGGAGCCTGCCATGACGACCTGAGTTTTGGCAGAGACTCATATGCAAGCAGAGGTAATGCTGCAGCTTCATAGTGGAAAAAGGGGAGACTTCAGGTATGCCCTGATTGGAAGCTGTTGGCCTGGGGACGCTGTAGGCACGAAGTGTGGACTGTGGCTTGCTTGTTACAGTATCACCCACGGTGCTTGTTAAAGTACAGATCCCTGGGTTGTACTGCAGACCTACCGAATCAGAGCCTTGATCACTCAAAGTTGAGAACCTCTGTCACAATCTCAAAGCTTTCAGTGGTTATTAGGTTCCCAGGCTAGCCCACACCTGGGAGTCAGCATCCCTAAATCAGTCTTTACCAAATGTGGTTGATGAAAAGAATTGCTTGCGGGAGGAGAACGGGGAGAGAGAGACGGGAACAAGTGCTTTTTAAAAACTCAGACTCTTAGTCTCAGCTGTAGATCTGTTACTGGGGGGAAGGCCTGGGAATCTGCAAATTATCAAGCAGCTGATTCTGAGGATCAGGAAGCCTGGGAAGCAGCGTCCTAACTGCCTGCTCCCAGCCGGGTTCCAGACAGCACGGCAGCATCACTGTGTGCACAGATGCTCCCTGGTGGGTGTTTCTGAGTCAGGGACCTCTTGGGGGCTCAGGTTTGGTCCTTATGATTACTGGGGTTTATTCAGGGGGCGTGCTGGTTTCGCCATATTCCGTCCCCTGGTGTTTCAGTGAAGCTGGCTGTAACATTTGAAGGCTTTGCTTTATTTTAATCACATCTTTATAATTACCTCGCTGTGAGTTGACAGCTGTTATTAACATCACCTTGGGTTCTCCTTGAGAATTTTTACATCCTTAAAGTGATGCGGCACTTCTGCAGCTGAAGTCAGAAGCCGTTAACTAAATAATCGCTCTAAAATGTCACCAGGTTTTGTAAACATAGCCAATACTGTCCCCTTCCAAAGGAGGAAAAAAAATTGCTAGATAAATAATTTTCATGAAGGCAATTTGTTTCCCAGGGTCTATATTATTTTCTGTCTCATCCACTGGTTTTTGCCGCTGTGGGGCACTGGCAATAAAGAGCTGTCTCAAGAAGGAGGCCACGTCTGCTCCTGCCAATTTTCATCTGGAAGCCCACTTCAGGGTTCATGGCAATGAGAAGCAAAGATTTTTGGAAAAGACTTTTCTTTTTCTCTTAATGCTAGCAGCAGTTGTGTGTGTGTGTGTGTGTGTGTGTGTGTGTGTGTGTGTGTGTGTGTGGAAAATGATGGGAGTGGTTGAGGTTCATAGAGGGAATTATTTTAAAAACTCTTGGAAACATTGTTTTGAGTTTTCATCCAAGCTAGTTTGAGGAATGGCTAGAATTTCAGCTGAACTTTGATTAGATATGAAAAGTAATGTCCTGGGCTAGGTGTGGCAGCTCACACCCGTAAACCCAGCACTTTGGGAGGCTGAGGTGGGAGGATTGCTTGAGTCTAGGAGTTTGAGACCAGTCTGGGCAACAGAGCAAGACCCCATCTCTACAAAAAAATAAAAAATCGTAGCTGGGAATGGTGGTGCATGCCTGCAGTGCCAGTTAATCAGGAGACTGAGGTGGGAGGATCACTTGAGCTTAGGAGTTCGAGGCTGCACTGAGCTACAGTGAGCTATGATTGTGTCACTTCACTCCAGCCTGGGCGACATTGAGTGAGACCCTGTATCTTTAAAAAGAAAAATAATTTCCTATTTGTAAATGTTGGAGAAAATGGAGAATTTCTTCCATAGAAAGGTATGCTGTCTCCTTCCAGTACTGCCTCTATGGAATAATCTAGATCTTGCTTTCAGCAGGTATCAGGAGGAAGGCTGGCCAGGGTAAGAGGCCTGCTCTGCCCTCACTGGCAATGTATCTTTGGAGTGAGATCTTTTTTTCATGTGTAAAAGGTATTGAAAAAACACTTGCTTTGTCCATCTCATAGCGTCTTTTTTCCTCTAAAGATTTAATGAAACAATGTACATGATTGCATTTTGAAAAAGTAGAGTGTTACATACAAAGAAAGGTAGAATTATTAACTGGAGCCTCATCCCACACTGTGTGCAAAGCCTGCTGTTTAGCAGTGTTCAGAGTAATTGCCAGTCATCTATCTGACTGACTGACAAGCCTCATGACTCAACATGGGAAAGATGAGAGATTCAGAGGCTTAATTTGTTTTTTTCCATGTGGTATATTTGACATATGTACTTGCAATTGCAAGCAAATATTGTAAAGTCTTTTCTCTTCACTTTGAAAGACATGAAAACCTTCAAAGAAGGAAGTCAATTCTTGCTGAGTTTGACAGCTGTTTTTAAGTTTCTCCAAAGATCAAAGCGCAGCCCAGGAATGAGGGGGAAATGATATTGGCTTCTTTTCTCAATCGGGATCTTAAAGTGCGGAGGCAGCAGAGATGAACACTAAAGACCAAAATGGCCAGGATTATGAGTTCCGTTCCCCGAGGTGGCTCAAAAAGATGCCTTAGAAAAGACAGGTTTGCCCCTGTTGTGCAGATGGCAGGATAAATAGGCTGACATTATTATCACTGCTTTGCAGATGAAGACACGGGCTCAGAGATGCCAGGTCACAGAGCCAGGGGATGGAGGTGTCATGACTCAGGCTCTGGTGTTCTAATTCCAACTCTCAGGAGCGTGATACCCTCTGGCTCCTGAGAATGCGTGGCCCATTTACCATACCCCTTGTTTCTTTCCCCTCCTGCTCTCTTCCTCCTCTTTTTCTTCTTCCTCCAATTTAGGCCAGTCAGCTTTATCTATGGGCATTAACTGAGCCCCGCCAGTGCTATCACTCCAGCCAAAACCGATTGCTGCCTCGTGTGCTAGACTTCAAGGCTGTCTGCAGTGACAGCGTTCAGAAGCGGGTGACTAGATCAGTGGAATCCTAGAGCCACCTGATGCAGGGCCCACCGACCATTCACAAAGTTACTTTGTGAAGTCCAGGAGTGCGATCAAGCCTGCAGTGTCCAGGGTCCTTCCTAAAATTGAATTAGAGTGCTGAGTGAATTAACTGTTTGCTCCTCTTCTTGTGTGATGCATTTTTAATTACATTTCATAAAAACGTCTGGATGGATTGATGGAGCTTTAGTTAAACTTCAGGTAGGCAGGGGGAGTAGACGATGGTGCAGTATAACATGTTCTGTTAATACAGGCTCAGAACACATGTACTTTATGGCAGTTCAACTGAATCTTTGATGTAGGGCTACTTAAAAATATATTACCTTTGAAAAGATTTCCTTTGAAAGATAGAGTGGGTGCTTTAGCAGCCTGTAAGCCGTCAGCCAGACGATCAATTGACAAACACGTCAGCACTTATAATTCACTGCAGCGGCTCCCCTGATACATGCAAAACACTGGTTTATTTCAGAAAAAGAATATATTTCTCAAAATCCCTTTCATTCACATTGTAAGGTTTATGAGGCAAGTCTTGTCAATCCTAGGCCCTTCACAATGAAAGAAAAGTCTCTTTGGTCTGTCTGCCCTGCGTTTCCTACAACATGGATTATTTTAGGCTCTGAACTGGGCATACGATGTGAGGAAGGAGAATAGATACGGCTTAAAGTAAACAGCAGCTCAGACCCCAGCCACGGAGGGAGGTTATATTTCATTTTGAAGATTGTATTTATACTTGCAAAAAGCTATCACTGTTCTGCCAGAATATGATGTTTACTTTTTTTTTTTTTCTCCATGAATCCTTTTGATGGGAGCAGAAAATTCTGTTTTTTTCCCTGGGGTGGAACTGTTTACAGTGTCACTAAAGTGTTGGGTAAAGGGCTGGGCTCAGTACCTCCCTCTCCACAGCTCTGGGGTCTCCATGGTCGGGAAGATGAAAGCTGTGCTCCTCCAGAGTGGAGCTGGCCCGAGTGAGAAGATGGGTATGACATGTACCCCTTAGATTGATCTGTGGTGGGTTCCTCCTTCTCTGCATCCCGGACAGTCCTTGGTTTCTAACTCTATGAAGAAAAAGTATAGACTCATGGGTCTTCAATGAGTTGGGTTCATTGGCTTAATAATTTTTATTAAAACAAAAAGCAGAACAAAGAAAAACTGTCCTCCCTTCCCCCTTGGGCAAAGGAAGTGGATTTGGCCCAGCAAGGATACCATTCTTGGGTAGAAGGGAGATGGTGGGCGTGAGCAGCCCTTGTCTGAGAAGCTGTACAGCTGGGTTTGCCCCTCCTGCCACCAGCAATGCGTGCTCCAAGGCAGACTCAAGTTTGTGGAAGACCTGGTCTCTAGGAGGCAAAACTGACCAGATGCCACAAAACTGTTCCATTGTGGATTTAATTCCTTTTGTACAAAGTCTAATTCACATGTAATTTGAGCTAAGTCTGGTAGTTGGTATGGTAGCCAAAAACACATCTTTGACCCGCCTGCTCCTATGTCGGCTCAGCACTGCTTCACCTTTGACCTAATTGACCCCCAGCCCCCAGCACCTTGGCAACCCCTCCCCATCTTCCCTGGAGTGGGGGAAGCTGACTTGGAATTCCAGTAGCCTAAGGTTACTGGGCAACACAATGGTGTCACCAGCTCACTGTCCCGGCTGCCTGGGTCTGGTGGCAGCTGGGGGCTTTTATGACATCGTGTGTGGGGACCTATGGCAGGAGCCTCGCCCTGTCCTGGCACACGTTGGCCCCAAGCAAACGTGGAGGTCCTCCAGAGGGACAAGGAGGCATCATGGGCATCTCCACAGCTGATGGCAGGATCCCGGGTGCCCTGTACCCCTTCGTCTGCTGCCTGCAATATGGTGGGTGGGCACTTCCTGCTGCTTGCCAGCCTAGCCTGGCGAGGGACAACCTCTAGTCTCAGACAGCCTCCTGCCATGCATGCTCACGGAAAGCACCGTTGTTCATTCCGGACCCTTCCTGCGTGTTCTCCATGATACTGACCCCTTCTGTGGTGGAATAATCTGCCTGGCTCCCTGCTGCCGCTAGCTTGCATGGCCACAGCAGGGGGCACTCGGCCACCCTTTCCACTTTCTACCCAGCCCTGGACTTTTAAGATGAGGCCCTTTACGGAAGGAGGCCTGGGCTGGAGACTCAGCCTTGCTTCCCCTCACTGCTGGAGTGGCTCCACTTCATATCCCGGTTCCAGTAATGAAAATGTGTATAATTCCTGGGGTTCCACCCCTCATGGTACCCCAGTTTCACCCACTGTGTCCCACTCCAGTCTCCCTGCAGCTGGGGAACAGCTTCGTTTCCTCGGACCTCCAGGAATCCTGCCCCTAAATCTGAGCCCAGGCAGGGCCCACTTTCTGAGCAGTCCCACCTGAAGCCACTTACTTGTGAGCTAGACCTCAAAGGCCGCTCACACTGTGTGTCTCCTGCTCACTCAGCTCAGTGCCCAGCTTACCTAAGGCTCACCCCATGGTGACCCAATGGTTGGTCTGCCCAACCATTTAGGGAGAATGCCCAGATCTCTGTCGGGCAAGTTTGCTGAACCTGGTCCATCCTCACGTGCTTACCTTGGCCCCTGCCCTGCCTGGGTGGCTGGACTTCCCTGCGTTGCCTGCAGTCCAGGCAGCTCCTAAGTGTCCACCCAGCAGTGGGTGTGGCTTGGCTCTAGAATCGGCTGGCCTGGGCACTGCCTGAGCACTTCTCTGAGATGAGGGCGGCAACAGGAGCAAATGCGAGCAGACAGCTGGGTGTGTCCCTTTCCAGCAGAGGGGTGGGTTGTGGCCCCTCTTGGTAGTTTAATCAGCTGTTCTTTGGGTGCCTTTGAATAATAATTGGACAAGTCAAGGTGGGATTCATTTACTCAGAGTCATAGCCTCTCTCTGGGGGAGGTTGCTATAGTCCCTAGGGACCCAGTTTAACAAGTTTTTGAGCCCACAGTCCCAGCAAGAATGGGTTTGAGGTCTATAATTACCCCAAACTTTAAAAATCAGCTTTGCAGCAGATCTGGAGGATCGTCCCTTTGCTGTACCCCAGTGGGTAAGAATTCTTGTCTTTTGCCAACCCATTGAGCCGGCATTGAATCACTCAATTACTGCAAAATCTTTTCTAAATAGAACGCACACCACAGCCTCCAGTGGAAGCATTCCAAGATCTGCAGCAAATATCTAGCTCATTGGCAGAAGCAGGTTTTTGGCATGAACAACTGTTTTTCACTTTGATTTCGACTCCAGCAGAAGTTCTGCAAGATGACCTGGGAATAAAGTTGGCCAAGAAGCCTCCGAGGGGAGATCGGCGTGTGAGTACGTATGCCTCACCCACGCTATCTTCTGAGCTCCAGCACCCACGGCATGTGGAGAATGGGCTGCCTTGTTTGGGAGGCTTGGTTTACCCTACTCCGTCGAGAAGCATGTAATGCGTAGGGCAGTGAGAGCATTTGCTACATGCTTAGGCCGAGAGGCAGCGTGGCTGGTATTGTGAGCTGTCAGCTTTAAGTTTACAGCATTGAAACTGAGCTTGGGAAGGAGGAGAGGACAGAGGACGGGTGGGGCTGTGTGTTTTAATCCTGGCTCACTCAGCCTTCTCATTTTGGGAGCCATGCACTTCTAAACAAAGCTCTCAATAGGGACTTTGTCAATGCTGTGCCGCTACTTAACCTTACAACAAAGAAGCTTTGCGACCATTTGCGCACCCATGTCTGCTTTAGGCAGGTGGAGTGACGCAATAGTTACGGGCAATGGAATGTAATAAAAAGAGCAGAGAGATTCTAACACCAGACTCATCTGTGCAAAATTTTGCTCTATTCTCTTCTTAGCTGTATGACCTTCAGCCAGACACTTGAGGGGGCCTCTCCCCACACCTTCGGTTTTCATATGCGCAAAACTGAAGAATGCTATGTGCTTCATTCACTGTTGTGAGGCTTAAGTGATCTCAAGGAATGAACCCAGTTAAAACCCTATCAAGCATGCAACTATACATTCTCCACCCCCCACCCCACCCCAAATTAAGGCCAGCACTTGAAGCATTAAATACTGTCATTGTGGGGTCTAAAAGTTCTGGTTAACCTTTGAACCCCAAGGCAGAGCAAGATCTGGGACTGAAAACGGCGATTGTTTAAAATTCAGCAGACCCACTGGGCAGTGCACCTTCCAGGCCTTTCCAGGACACCTCAGTAGGAGTTTGGTTTGCCCATCATCTCTGGGTCAGGCTGGACACTTGGCTGTCACACTTGGCCTTCTGGGGTGACTGCGTGAGTGTGGCCCCCTCGTCAGCCTGTCAGGACACCTCCTCTTGCTGGGGCTGCGCCTCTGGCTGGGATTTGTCCTGGATGTGGCCGGTCCGAGGCTCCGGTTGCAGCCCGTGGCCCAGCACACAGAACTCTGGGGGAGATGCACGCCTGGTGCCGCCCTGCAGTTCAGGGGAACAGGGGCTGCTCCCCGGCTCTGTGTCCTTCTTAGGGCTCTCCTCGCTGCTGCTGCCGAGAGAAAGGACAAGTGCAGGTCAGACACTCCTCCTCTGCTGCTCCTTCCTGCCCCACCCCTGTCCTCCATTCTCCCTTTCTGTCCCTCCCCAGCCCTCTCCCACAAGCCTGTTCACCCTGGGTGCCAGGCCTCTGCCCTCTGTACCAGGCTTGCCAGGCTGGTGCCGCCATTGCCGTGTGCCTGCAGGGGTGGGCGCTGTGGGAGCTGGGGTGACTGGCTGAGTCCTGTTCTTTCCCCTGAAGCCCTGGATCCTGCTGCTCTGAACAAAGCAACTCCCTCAGAAGCTCTGGGAGCTGGGCCTTTATTTTGTTTTTGTTTTTAAAGCACTTCTTGTTTAATAAGGGTTAGGCTTAGCCAGTTGAATTAAAGACAACAACAACAACAAGGAAAAAACCGGCTTCGCTCAGCTGCCACCCTTTTCCCGAATAGAGAAAAATGCAAACAGCTTGGCCCAGCGCAGGCCCCGCATTTGGCTGGAACAGAGATTCTCAGCTGCCAAGTGACACAGCTAAGAGGGGCTTTGCATGGGGAGAGGACCCCCACAGGAGCCTGAGTGGGATTTGGGAGTGCCTTGGGAGTGCAGAATGGAGGGTGGCCCTGAGCATGGAGCAAGCTTTGGCTAGCAGGGGACCTGCCCAGGAAACCACACTGGCCGTCTGCTGGCAGGACAGCCTGAGGCTTCCCAGAGTGGGAATTAGAGGCTGACTGCCTGGTTTCAAGTCCTGACTCTCTGGCTTATTAGTTCACCCCTCTGAATCTTTGCTTCCTTCCTTATAAAATGGAAGTAATAGGCCGGGCGTGCTGGCTCACACCTGTAATCCCAGCACTTTGAGAGTCCTAGGAGGGCGGATCACCTGGGGTCAGGAGTTTGAGACCAGCTTGGCTAACATGGTGAAACCCCATCTCTACTAAAAATAGCAAAAATTAGCCGGGCATAGTGGTGGACACCTGTAATCCCAGCTACTCAGGAGGCTGAGACAGGAGAATCGCTTGAACCCGGGAGGCAGAGGTTGCAGTGAGCCGAGATTGCGCCATAGCACTCCAGTCTGGGCAACAAGAGTGAAACTCTGTCTTAAAATAAAAATAAAAATTAAAAAAGGAAGTAATAATAGTACCCAGCTCATCAGGCACTCATAGGTATCAATACTGGGTGAAGCATGGAAGACCCTTGGCATACTATTGTATTAATAGCATAAGTGCCCCATAGGTGGGTAGTGACACTATGGAGCTGCATTGTTGAATGAACAGGAAGTCACACTAGGAAAGGACTCTAGGGACCACACTATCCTACTACAGGGACTATGAGGCCTTGGTCAGAGCTCTCAATCAGTTGCCTCAGGGCCAGGACAGGACCCTAGTTCCCCACATGCACAGGCAAGAAGGCCCTTCTCTCTGCTCGCGACAGCACATTCTTGCCTGATCTGTGAGCTTTATTGCACAATGTGCTCAGCTCTGTGAGGTCAGGCTTACATGGGATGCCAAACCAGTGGAGAATATGTTTGCATTTGGATCTGAACAAGATCGAGGTGGGTGGTAGGAGTCGTGGGTAAGTGGGGTGGGCGCTAAGACCAGCACACAGCTATGGTTGTCAGACAGGAAGGAACCCAACTCACTGTGCCATGGAGCCAATCTCATCTGTGTTGGCCTCCGGCCCCATCACAGGTCCCTACAGGAGTTCAGGGCCCAGGGCCCACTGGGTATCTGATCCAGGAGACTGAGTAAGGGCGGCAGAGCGTGCATGCCTGGGCAGTCCAGGCCAGGTGAAGACTGAAAACACCACATTGAGGGGAGAAAGTCTGGAGCCTTCTCAAATGCACACAGTGCCCCAACATCCTGAGACCTAGAGGCTGGTAGCTCTGCTGGGGGATTTGGCACAGAAATAACAGTTGAAGCTCAGTAATTGAGCTTCCTGGGTAAGCCTCCAAGGGCTGTTCCCAATCCCCAGGTCCCCAAGATCAGGAGATATAAACATCATCCATTTTTCTAAAAAGGGGGCTTCTGCCTGCACGGAGTGACTGGAAGGGCAGGCTGGTTCAGCTTGCAGGCCTGCCTCAGCTGCAAGACATCATGGGTGTGGTTGTGTCCCTGCATGTCCGTGCTTGGGGAAACAGCCCGTTCTGAGCAGCCTCTGGCTTCCTGGCACTGGCTTGTTGCATGATCTTGGGGAAATCATGCCTAGTCCCTGGTGGTGTTTCCCCATATGCAGGATGGCAGAAAAAAATGCTTGCCATTCACAGGGTGGCAAAGGCTTGATATGCTTACAGCAGGTGCACTTCTGCTCCCAGATGCCAACTTTATACCTGGGGGCAGGGGTGCTGGGGAATGAGCACTTTCCCATCACATGCTCACAGTGTGGGAAGGCTTACAGCTGTGTGGTGTCATAAGAGGCGGGGGAATGGTTGCGAGTCATTATACAACCTTCCACGTGACCTTGGGAAGCGTCCTGTTTATGAACCCTCCCCTCTCTCTCTTTTTTTACATTTTTCTCTAGATGAGGTCTCACTCTGTCACTCAAGCTGGAGTGCAATGGCACGATCTTGGCTCACTGTAACTGCCACTTCCCAGGTTCAAGCAATTCTTGTGCCTCAGCCTCCCGAGTAGCTGGGACTACAGGTGCGTGCCACCATACCCTGCTAATTTTTGTATTTTTAGTAGAGACGGGGTTTTACCATGGTGGCCAGGCTGGTCTGAAACTCCTGACCTCAGGTGATTCACCCACCTCAGCCTCCCAAAGTGCTGGGATTACTGGCGTGAGCCACTGCACCTGACCGTCCTCTCTCTTTCAAGCCACTGTTACCTCCCTGCCGCCCCTGCCCCAAGTATTGAGATTCAGGACACAAAACAACCTTTTAGGCTGCCCTATTCTGAGGAGAAGGCTGAGAGAAGGGCATCATTTTCTTCTTGAACAATTTTATGTTACTTTATTATTGCTCCTGCTGTTTTAAAATGTTAGTGTTTTTAATTAATGCCATTTTATTGTCCCTGTTCTCTCAAGCTCTTCTGCTGAAGGGCACAGTTCTAGAAATCTAATAACTGAATAAGTGGCGGGAGTGAGGAATAATGCATTAACATTTATAGAGATTCTCAGATGAAAACCACTGTACTGTAGGAAGCTCATTTTAGATTTAAGAAAAGAGCAATGTTACATTAAGATTCTTGCAAAAATAATCAATATTTCATTTCTTTCAAGTGGCTGGGGAAGTTTATCTAACTGTAATAATGCACAACTTTCCCAAGATAATATCTTTATTTTACATTGACTGCCGAGTACTTTGTAAAAAATTACCATTTGTGCCTGGACAGATTGTGAAGTCTGCAAAACGTATCACTCTGGCAGAAATTAACTGCTGATTTACACAATCGTGGGCTATGCAAAGATAGCAAGGACCGATGTTAGTTGAGCTTTGTCTGATCTTGATAGACACATTAATAAGAGTTCTTCTCTAATAGACCTCAGACATTTTTTTTTTGTTTCTATGCCAGGTTGGGAAAAGGCACATTTCCCCGTGTATTCTGTAAAATAACCACTTGAGCATACGAGTTCTTCTTTCAGTGTCCAGTAATGGCTACACTTTGACTCACGCCCCATTGCGGCTGCATGCCTGGGCCTGTCTGCACGGCTGGACCAATGACATGCACGTCCATTGCCCTGATGAGAAAGGCACACTTGGAACTCAGCCTGCCCGGGGGAGAGGTAGCAGCCCCACCCCTGGATTCTGGTGCTCAGCACTCATGAAGACTCTTGTTCTCACTCTACAAACTTTTGAAGTTAGAGGAGAAGTGGAGCTAGGTCCTTGGGGATATGGGAAGCCACACATTTATATTCTATGCCTCCAGGACTAGCCATTCTCAAAGTGTAGTCTGGGGGCCCCTGGTTATTCCTGAGACACTTATAGGGGGCCCACGATGTCAAAACTATTTTCATCATAATACTAAGATGTCACTTCTCTTTCTCACTCATTCTTTTGTGAATGCAGGGTGGAGAGCCCCGCGTCTACATGAGGTGTGAGATCCCAACAGGTTGACAATGGAAGCAGAGCTGAGAATCCGGTCATCTTATATTAAGCCAGATGCTAAAAAGGTTTGAAAAAATGTAAGACAGTGCTACTCTTCTCCCTAAATTTTTTGTTGTTGTAGAAGATACTCTTTTCATAAAGACACATGCATGCAAATGTTCATTGCAGCACTATTCACAATAGCAAAGATATGGAGTCAACCCAAATGCCCATCAATGACAGATTGGATAAAGAAAATGTAATGCATATATATACCATGGAGTGCTATGCAGCCATAATAAAGAACAAGATCATGTCTTTTGCAGGCACATGGATGGAGCTAGAGGCCATTAATTATCCTTAGCAAACTAACCAAATACTGCATGTTCTTACTTATAAGTGGGAGCTAAATGATGAGAACTCATGGGCACAAAGAGGGGAACAGTAGACACTGGGGCCTCCTTGAGGGTGGAAGGTGGGAGGAGGGAGAGAGCAGAAAAAATAACTATTGTGTATTATTAGTACCTGGGTGATGAAACTATCTGTACAATAAACCCCTTGTGACACAAGTTTACCTACATCACAAACCTGCACATGTACCCATGAACCTAAAATAAAAGCTTTAAAAAAAGTGGACACAAGAAAATACACACTTTTTATAAGAGTATATTATTTGTGTTAACGTATTTTTTAAAAAAATAATAAATATTTTACATATTTCTCAGTTTTAACTTCCAATACAGTAAACATTGATAGATATAGCCTCCACACGCAAAGGCTCTTTTGGGCTCTTAATAACTTTAAAGGGTTTAAAGCCATCCTGGGACCAAATAGCTTGAGAACCTCCCAACTAGATGCTGGTCTCCTGCGGGGAACCAGAAACATGGGGAGCCAGGCTGCTGGTTTGAGACACGGCACCAGTGAGCCAGCCACAGGGGCAAGCCTTTTCATCTCAGTTTCCCCAGCTGTAAAACATGGGGTGTGTGGGGTTGAACTAACTTGAGTGTTTTGAACTTTACTATTTTATTTTTTTGAGATATATATATATATTTTTAAGTTCTGGGATACATGTGCAGAACGTGCAGGTTTGTTACATAGATATATTTGTTTCATGGTGGTTTCCTGCACCTATCAACCCATCATCCAGGTTTTAAGCCCCGCATGCATTAGGTATTTGTCCTAAGGCTCTCCCTCCCCTTGTTCCCTACCCTCCAACAGGCCCCGGTGTGTGCCCTTCCTGTGTCCATGTGTTCTCATTTGAACTTGATTTTTTTTAATACAGCAGGGCCTCTTTTCAATTAAAATATTTCCTAGGCAGCTGGAATGTGTAACAGATAAGAGCACAGTAACTCAAGGTTGGAGAGTGGGGGAGCTGGAACTGCCCCCTACACCTTTTTCCCAACTGCCTCTTCTCTTGGAGCACAGTTTGAAAACTACTGAGACCCAGAAGATCTTTTGGCCCATTCGCTCTGTTCCTCTCTAGTCCAAGCCGCTGAAGGGCAGTGACCCCAGGACACTCCTTACCTGTTCTGGCCGAGCTGGGATTCATAAGAGGTGCTGGTGGGGTCCAAGGTGGGAGGCTGCGGTCGGCCACCTGGCTGGCGGTCAGAAGCTGTCCTCCTGAGGAAAGGCAGAGGGTTGAGGGCACACAGAGCTGCTCTCCGCTGCGAGTCTGCTCTCAGCCAAGGCCCTGAGCTGTTCTTCCAGCATTCTGCTGGGTTCCCGAGAGGGCCCCCAGCCTCTGGCGGCAGCGATGGTGGGGTCAGTGGGTGGGCTGTTGAGAGTGGCGGTTTAGCTTCAAACAGAGAGGAGGTAGCTGGGCAGAATATGGAATGTGTGTTCCCAGACACTTTGGCTATGACTGCTTGGCTGTCTTCAGAGTCTCTTGTTTCCTTGTGCTCCTGAGAAGGGGACATTGGGGGTGATGGGGAGGGAATCGAGAAAGGGGGGCTTGCTTCTGGGTGCTGGGTTGGGGGGCTGGGGACCTTGCACTGAGCAGGTGCACTCTCGGGGGGAGGGTTGGGCAACTTGGGCTGGTGCGGTGGGGAAGTTCGCCGCTTTGTGGTGGGTGGGCTTAGCACCCTGGGGCTCACAGGTGGGCTGGGGGGCGTCTGCACAGCAGAGGGGCTTGGCTGGGCAGGTCTGTAAGAGGAGGGAAGGCTCCGGCGCCTCTTGTCTGCTTGAGGCACCCAGTGTGTCCTCGTGGGAGAGGCCTTTCTGCCCACAGGGGGGCTTCTCTCTCGGCTCTGCCTTGGTCTGGCCAGGCTGGACTCTGAGGTCCTGTTTTGTCCAGATGGAGGGCCGGAGTGGTGCCAGGCGATGGCCTTCCGGGGCTGCCTGTAGAGGCTGGTGGCCTTCTCTGCCTGACTCCAAGTCCCACCCTTCACCTCGGGGCTTTGGCTGGTGGCTGGTGGGCTGCTCAGGTCCAGGGCTGGCTTCCTGGGCTGGCAGCTGCTCCTGCCACTCCCTGGCCCTGTGCTGTGAGGCTTGGTCAGGCTGGCGGTGCTCTTGCTGGGCAGCAAGTCCAGGGGGCTCACAGAGGCCCTCAGCTTTGGGGAAGCCCATGTTCTCCTGGTGGGGCCAGCCTCTCCCGGCCCTGGCTCCTGGGTTTCCTTGGGGGAGTTCTCTGTGGACTTGCTGCTTTCTGGGGACTCCAGAGAAGCGAATGATTTGTCCATCAGAACTTCCATAGGCGGTGGAGGGAGGTGCTCGAGGTTCCCCTCCATTTCACAGCTGAGCTCCTCACTCTTGGCTGCTTCTGCTTTAGGCAGAGGGGGAAAGATAGGTGCTAAGGGCTTCCAGCCTATGCCCATTTTGAGAGATTCTCTGCCTGATGCTGGAGAAATTTGGGGCTTCGGATACAAAGGGGCAAGCCCTGTGTACTTGGGAAATCTGGGGGGCATGATGCAATTCCTGAGGCAGGGACTTGCCCCAGCGTCCTTAGAGTCCCCCAGCATCCTCAGACTCTCCGTGGGACTGAAAGTTTCAATAAGCTTCTTGACGGATGTTCTGGTGGGACAGCCTCTGACATTCCAGTCTGTGGCCTTGGCAGCCTCACTGACCTCTCCTGATGGGATGGCATTTGGAAGCTTCCCAGCTTTGCCTTGTTCGTCCTCAGGATGGGGATTGCATTTCTGCAAGATGCTCTTGTCCTGACTAGGCAAAATACTGAAGTTCTTGGTGAGGGATGCCTTGAGCCTGCTGGTGGTGTTGCTTGGACTGACCCTGCAGGTGCCATTGGGCCACACGGCGGCTGCTCTGGGCTGCAGAATTTGCTCCTGGCTCTGCCCCTGCCCTTTGGCACCCAGGGCATAAAATGCCTCCAGCTTCTGACTGAGGTCCCTCTGGACCCTTCGCAGCTCCTGAAAGGTGGGGTCCTCCACGTGACTCTGGAGACACGACTCTGACTGGGACCTCGTCTGCCTCTCAGGGGCCCTCCTGCTGCCACTTACCGTGCTAGGTCTTGGGGGGACCACTGTCCTCCCCTCCTCCTCCTCAGACCAGTCCTGGTGCCCACAGGGCACAGGGACAAACTTGATCCTTTCGCTGATTGACTCCTTCATCTTCAGAATCATTTCCTGGGCCTGGAGGCTCCTAAGCCTCCTGGTGCGGGCCTGAAATGGGCTTTCCCGGTCAGCAGGTGAAGATTGTGGCCTTGAATGTGGAGTTTTTTCCTGCCAGGCACACAGACTCATGCTGCTCATTTTGTCTTCCTCCTCCTCCTCTGGGCTGCTGTCCTCGCTGTCACTAAGAGATGAAGCGTCCATCGGCCTGGAGGTTTTGGAAAGGTGTGGTTCCACAGAGACCCCAATCCCAAAGGAATCACATGGGGTGCTTGTCCCCAGCTTCAAAGGTGGGGAGGTGATATTTTCTGGGCTTGTACTGGAGAGGCATGGGCTCCTTGCTTCGTCCTGTGCTCGTGGCTGAACCTTTGCCATAGGAGCCCCTGAGAGCAGGCAGTCCTGGGGTCTGCCTGAGCCCAAACAGAATGGACTTTGCTGCCAGGTGTGTCCTGACTGCCTGGCCTCTGTGTGGGGTGAAGTCACCGACTTCCATTCTTCGGGCTCTGGTGCAAGGTCCCAGCTGGTTTGCTTGCCCAGCTTGTCCACCGACTGCACGGACTCATTGTCAGCACCAATGCCACTGTCCTCAGAGCATAAGGGGAGACCCTGCACCCCAGGGTCGCCACAGCCACTCGCCAGGCTCTCTAGCTGCCTCAGAGCCCTCAGGAGGCGTTCATCCACATTCCTTTTTGTGCTCAGCTTATTTTCCAAGTGGGTTGCAGTGGAGTGGAGGTAGCTGCTGGAGCCCTCCAGGAAGCTGCCGGTGAGCGAGGCCACTGTGCCATTGAGCACCTGCAGCTTGCTGACTGTGTACTGTAGCAGCTGTTGCAGGAGATTTGGCTGCTCCTGGGGCTCTCTTTTCTTCAAAGGCCAAGCCAGATCCTCCCTGACTTCCTGCAGGAGCACTTCTCCATCCTTGGAGATCTCCCCCAACAGCTGGCTGATCTCCTCAAAGCACAGCAGCAAGAAGCTGACCATGGGCTGCAGCAGCTCCCGGGTCTGGGTGGCCTGATGGATGATGCACAGAATTGCTTCATATTTGGAGAGGCTGGAGTGTAGATAGGTGTAAGCCTGCTGGTGGGCCTTTACCAGAGGCTCCGGGAAGTCCACTTTGCCTTCAGGCTCATGAGCAGGGTGGATGGTTTGGTAGCAGTGGCTCTGTGTGCTTGACGTGTGACATTTTGCTGTCCTTTTCCATTTGGAAGTATCTTGGGTACTACTTTCCTCACTCTCATCTCCAGAAAAGTCTGCCCCTTGTGATCCATGGGAACCCTGTGTCTTGAACGGAATATCCTTAGCCATGTGGCTTTGTGATTTGTTCAGCTGGGATGAAGAGGTTTTGGTTCCTGGGATCAGTCCTTCCATATCTTTCCTTTTGCCTGAAGCAGGATCTCCCATGAGCTGACAAAGACCTTTAGCTGTGGTTTGGTTCCTCCTGGGACTTGGCTGCTCCTCTGCCAGGCCCTCCCCAGCGTCATAGCAGGTGGAGTTTTTAACCAGCAAAGGGATGGAACCTCTTTCACTTCCGCCCTGACATCCTGGCCGAATTGCTTTGGGCTTTTTCAAGAACTGAATGCCACTCTTTGCAACGCTGTTTACAAGGTCACTGTGTGAAGGTGTACACCCCATGATTTCAGCTTGTAGTCATCTTCCACCCACCTTCACAATTTTCCAAGAATCATATTTGAAATAGGAACAAAAGGCAATCTTACTAGTCCATCCAGGCAATTTTCAGGCCAGAATTCTTTGAAGTCCATGGTACAATATCCTAAACTTGGAACCAGCTTTCTTTATTTTCTTGGTCCAAATGTGAAGAGGGAGTGGTACCTGTCGTCCTGTTGTTGTTCTAAGTTTGGAACCCTCTGCTGTTAGTGAGCAGCGGGACAATTCTGAAGGCTCCCAGCCTGGTGGATTACGGGCCTGTGTTTTGCTCGCGTCCTGACAGATGTGGATAGCAAGTGCAGCTTAAGCCTATTAGGTTAATCATGCCCTAGCCAGTCAGCACTCACAGTGTGTTCTAATATAGAACTTCTCAGCATTTACTATCTTGGGAAGCGGATTATTTTTGCACGTGCTCATGCTTTTAATTCTGTTCAGACGCCTGCCATATGAAACCTAGAGAAATGAGCCATAATTGCAAAGGCTCTGGAAGAGATGCATTTGTGGAAGAGAAGAGAGGGCTCGTTGATTACAGGCCCTGGAAGAGAAGTGACCTTCACGGTTTAATAAGGGCAAACCAGCCAAGTGTGCTCCAATCTGCTGTTATCAAGAAGCCCCCAAAACACACAATAGATAATAATTGAAGTAATGCATTATTGTTTGTGTGGCTTATAAAAACCCCGGGACTCTAGTATAGAGAATGTCTCTAAATAAGATAGTGAATGAAGAAGGCAGGTTGCTTTTCCTTTGCATTAGAAAATTGAGTTAGGTAGCAGGAAAGCTATCCCCCCCAGTTTGGATGGGGACAGCAGGAAAAGTCACTGCCATGTAAAGCTCAAGGCTGGTCACTACGCTCAGGAAGGCAATGCTTTCATGGGAAGAGGCTTCTTATTCAAACTTCTTCATAGGAAAACAAGCTAAAAACTGGGCAGTGGAGAGCCATTTCATTATTAAGAGGAGAACTCAAGGGGAAGCCCATTTTTCTGCTCAAACTGAGCATGGGGCTCCTGCCTGTGGCTAAGGGTAGCAGCTGCCCATTTAAAACCTCCTTTTAAACTTTATTTGCTGTCAGTAAAATCTAGAACAACAGCTTGGCCTAGAAAGACTGGAGTTTGAATCCTGAGTCTTTCTCCTGTTAGTTGAGGAAACTTCTGATAGTTTTTAAGCTTTCCTGAGGCAGAGCTCATCTTTGAAATGAGGACCACGGTACTTACCTCACAGAGCCATTGTGAGGATTGTCAATTAATACTTGGTAAGTGCTTGACCCAAGGTAGGTACTCAAAAACATGCAGTTTCAGCCAGGTGTGGTGACTCAACGCCTATAAATCTCGGCACTTTGGAAGGTTGAGGCAGGCTTATCATTTGAGCTCAGGAGTTTGAGACCAGCCTGAGCAACATGGTGAGGCTGTCTCTACTAAAAATACAAAAAATTAGCTGGGGATGTTGGCACCCACCTGTAATCCCAGCTACTCCGGAGGCTGAGGTGGGAGAATCACCTGAGCCTAGGAAGTTGAGACTGCAGTGAGCTGTAATAGTGCTATTGCAAGCTGGCCTGGACTTTGGAAGTGAGACCCTGTCTTCAAAAAAAAAAAAAAAAAAAAAGTTTCTTACTCCTTTCCCCCTGGAAGCTAGGGCACTTATAATAATGAAAGTCATAAGAATTTCATTGGTTTGCGTTGGTTTATTCCTGAATGGTCTGGAAATAATTGCCTATGATGCACTTAGAGCCCTCTGAATCTGGTGTTCTTTTTGCCCCCCACCCCCACCCTGTGCTCAATCCACTGCTGCCTCAGGATTTTTCTAAGGCCTCATTGTTTAATTTCTCGGCTCTCAAACACAATGATTCCCACTGTCTGCAGGAGGGAGAGGGGCTTTTATTTAACCATTTCCTATTTTTGGGCATCTAGGTTGTTGCCAATTTCGAAATTTTCCAAATAGAAAAACATTGCATTGAGCATCTCTGAGCATCCCCCTGAAGTTGCTGAGATTGGAGTTGCTATTCTGGCTTTCCAGTCTTCATTTTTTCCCACTTCATACAACCAACGAAAACAACACCATGGGTGTCAGGATGTCTCCAAAACAGGCAGGACTTAGAGCTGCCTCTTGTACTAGCTGGAGACTGGCCACTGGGGCTGTGTGCAGCGCCTGCTGCCTATCACAGCCCGATGCCCCAGAGTGCATCATTAATAAACTTCCCCGATCTGTTTATTTGAAGCAGAACTCAGGCGAGACACAAAGCCGAATCAGTGCCTGCAGGCGAGCTGCGTTAGGCATCAAGACGTTGCTTCATTTGTCACAGTGCTGAGCTGGCCCAGTAAACAAGGGTGCCACGTGGGAAGGCTTTCTTTTCCCTTCGGGTCATCCATTTAACAGAGTGAAAAACTCATCTGGAGGATGCTTTATGTAAATTCTTCTTCTCTTGGGATTTGGGCCCCTGCTTGACTCATCTTTGTGAAAAACTTTTATCTAAGTGACTAAAATTATTTCCAAACCAATGATCAAAATCAAAGTGTTTGCCTGGAGGATTTGCTGTCAGATAGCTCTGTACCTTACACATGAGTTTCCTTGACTATTCCAAGTAATTTAGGAAGCTCTTTATTCATTGCTGTTCATTTTTCATTAAGACCAACTTTTGTCTTTCTTTATTTTAAATTGGATTTGCTTCAAATGAAAAAAATTATTTTGAGTGGGCATATAAAAGTACAACTATTTTGGAAAACTGTTATTTAAAAATATACCCTGTGACCCGTCAATTCCACTCCTAAGAATTTACCCAAGAATATTGAACATAAAGGTCTGCAAAGAGACTGCTATAAGAAAATTTATAGTTCTACTCATAATCGCCTCAAATTGGAAACAACCCAAATGTTTATCAATAGGGAAATAGATAAATTTGATATAATTGTACAATGGAATACTACCTAGCAATGAAAGGAACAAACTAATGAAACGTAACAACAGCATAAATTTTAAAATCATTATGATGAGTGAAAGAAGCTAGACATTAAATAGTGCAAGGTGAAACATTCCATTTTTATGGAGTTCGGGAACAGGCAAGTAATCCATAGTTATATTAAATAATTAGAAAAGTGGTGAATCTCTAGGAAGAGCTATCAACTGGTTGTGGACATGAAGGAATTTTTTTTAGGGTATTGGAAATGTTCCACATCTTGACCTAGGTGGTAGTTATATGGGTATATACTATATAGGCAAAAATTCCTTGAGTTGTACAATGAAGTTGCACACTCTATGTTGCACTTGCGTGTACACACACACACAGACACACACACATCTAACTAAAATGCGGTATTGTATGCTTTGCTTGGCGCCTAAGAGGGTCCTAGCTATAATGCTCTAGGTCTTGGAAAAGGGTCCCTCTATTAGTTGTCTGTTTTTGTATAACTACTCCAAAAATAAGGAGCTTGAGATAACATCTCACAGTTTGTGTGGGTCAGGAATTTGGGGGCAACTCAAAAGGATCTCTCATGAGTTTGCAGTCAAGATGTCAGCCGGGATTGCAGTCATCTGAAGGCTTGACTGGGGTTGGATGATTCTCTTCAAGATAGCTCATCTACATGGCTGTGATAGCTCACTCACATGAAGGCCTCCATTCCTTGCTGGCTGTTTGCAGGAGGCCTCAGTTACATGTCACATGGACCCCTCTGTAGGGCTGCTCGAGTGTTCTTACAACAGAACAGCTGGCTTCCCCCAGAGCAAGTTCTAATCCCAAAGGTCACCTTCACTTCCTCCATATTCTATTCTGTAGAAGCTGGTCACTGTGTAGAGTCTACATTCAAGGAGAGAAAAATTAGGCTCCACCTTCAAAAGGTCACTTGAAAAAAAAAGATCAGGCCATATCATAGCTCAAACCAATGCATCTAGTGTAACTATACTAAACATTAGTTTATAAGGTACTAGTCTTTCCCCTTTAGCATGTTAAATAAATTCCATGCCATTTTGTTTGATGTGGCCCTGAACTAATTGATCAGCAAAAGATGGTTCTAGTGTGACATCAGTTTTGAGCCAAGACTGAAAGTCATTTAAACAATCTAAGAAATGTTTTACCCCTCAAAGTCTATCAGCCTCACCAAAGGGGCTCTCCTGTACCTTAAAAGCCAAGAAAAATTTCCCACTAGTCAAGGCCTACCTAGGACATACCTGGTCCTCCATATCTGAAGGAGTGCTTTTTGCAACACAGTTCCTTGGTCTGGATGTGAGATGAACAGGTAACAGAGAGATAAGCACGCATCTATTGTGGTGAGCTGGCGGGGAAGGAGGCCATGTTTGTGTCCCACGCACTTCATTAGGCACTCACTTTACATTTATCTTTTCAGAAGCTGGCCTTCCTTGCTTTGCTTTGGAGGATCATTAAAAGAACCATTCTGGCTACTGTTATATACCTTAGAGCAATCCATCCAGAGTTGCTCGTGGGATACACAATTCTATCAGAAACCAACATGTGATATCCAGGTGTCTGCCCTAAGTAGCTTTTGATTTGGTGATGATAGTAGAAACACCTGCCTGTTTTTCTTGAATCTTAGTGTGCATGGCGTATGGTCTGGATCAGTCATCACACAGGTACATTGTACCTCTGGAGGTTGACTCTTTAAACCTTTAAGATGCCTCTAAGTATCCTCCAAAGCAAATTTCATGTACACAAGGTAGTGTATGTTTAGAATCAAAGTATCCTAAATGTACCACAAGCTTGAAAAACATTTATCTAGTTTTTTTGTATGATAGAAAGTGTTTTATTGAAATAGATTCAATTCTTACATATAAATTAGAGTTTTTTTTTTAAAGGGTAGGCTAACTTTTGTAACTAACAATCCCCAAATATCAGTGACTTGGCACAGTAAGAGTTATTATTGTTTATACAATGCCAGTGTAGGTGTTGGGACATTCTCTTAAACAGCCCTACTCCACATGGTGACTCAGGGATTTAAGCCCTTCCATCTTGGAACATGAACATCTTCAATACATGACTTACAGGGCGGAAAGGGAAGAGAGTATGGGGAAGGTAGGTCAGATCCTTGACTGTCTTTGCATGGAGTTGACACCCATCATTTCTGCTTACATTCTGATGGGCAGGACTTATCACATGGCCCTACTTAGATGCAAAAAGGGCTGGGAAATGTAGTCCACAGGCCCTTTCTTCATTCCTACCTTTTCTTCTACTCCCCAAGCCTGTGAAATATCCTCAGATCTTTGCCTTTGTCCCCTAGGTATGAGTCTCTCCACCTGTAACAGAGGATTGTCCCTGTCCTCTGGAACTTAGCTCTGGTGTGAAGACAAGATAGCTTGGGGAAAGAAATGCTAGGCTTTGAGTCAGAACACAGCACACAGGGAAGGAATTAATTGAGAATTCTTCCCAAACTGTAAGACCACTGCTCAGCCATGTTATCAGAAGAACCTACGGGAAAACTGTGTCAATGTCCTTATGAACTGTGGGATGGTTTGCTAATTCCCTGTAGGGAAATAAGAGCAGACTCGAATTTCTTGACTTTTGACTGGTTGTTTATTTGTGTATTTACTTTTACATGTATGTACTGTCATGGGATCCTTAGGGTGTTGCTTTGCCAGCTGGAAACCTCTGTGGCTAGCAGTGCCTCTGTTTCAGTTTTGCTCATGCCTGCTGGGCTCCTTCTGCTCACTTGGCCCATCAGGTTGCGCGTGGCTCCTGCTTTCAGCCCAGATCCCATACCTGCCAGGGTGTGTGAGTGAGCAAGTGCAGGGTCCAGCCACTGCACACAGCCAGGTGTGCCGGCTGTGGTGGGGCAGGCAGCTCCAGGCGCCCGCACAGGTGCCGGCTCTGTGCAAGGCTGCAGCTGGACCAGACGTACTGCAAGCAGCTTCTGCTGTGGGCACCAGCATGTGGACAAGGGGAAAGCAATAACACCAGAAAGGTCAGATACCAGGAACCACAAAGCCCCAAAGAGGGAGTTACAGCATGTCATAGCCATGACTTGGGGATCCCTGAGGTCTGGGCTCCCAGAAGGGCTGCAGCTCTTCTCTCCTTCTCGTCACTCACAATGTGGTGAGTGGGGGGCATGTTTCAGGCCTGTTTGTGTTACAGCTCTTTCAGTCCCACCATTCAGCTGGTCCTGAGTTCTTGTCCCATGTCCAGGAAGAATGAGGCACGTGGATAACTGGAGAGTGAGCAAGATAGTAAGGAGCTTCATTGAATGACAGAATAGCTCTGAGGAGACCCGAAGTGAGTAGCTCGTTTCCACAGGCAGGCCATGCTGATGAGTGTCCAGGTCTCAGTGGAGAGGAGACCCATAGTGGGCAGCTCCTTTCCACAGGCAGGTCATCCTGACCAGTATGCAAGTGTGGCTGAATCCAGGGATTTTATGGGCTCAGAAGGGAGGAACTGTGTGATGATTGGTCCATGGGTGGCCATGGGTGTGCCTGGAAAAAGCACCATAAAGTTTCGCTCTGGGTCATGGACACCACCTGGGACTGAAAGCCTGGCCCCCAGGCTTCAGGCTGTCCCTGGTTTGAAAGTGGGGCTTCACTGGGGACCCACCCCTTCCCTCCTAGGAACCTGTCTGACTCCTGCCACCATCAACATGACCTCCATGGCACCCAGGCTGTTCACACCAAGGGGCACCTGCAGGCTTGCGTTAAGCCTCCCTCAGCCCTCCTGGCCTCCCTTCCTGAGCTCGTTGGTGCTCAAAGTTTCAGAAGGTGCCAAGGCAGTGGAGGATGTCTGGCATGTCAGTGCTGCCCTGAGCGTGTACACACCTAGCCGGGCCATGACAGCACCCAGGCTCAGGCTCTGAAATTGGAGCGGGTGCCAGGAGTTGGGAGAGGCCAGGGAGTAGGAGCAGGCACTTCCAAGCCTGTGGGAGCTTGGGGCTAGCCATGCCCCTGAGAGTACAGGGATGCCCGGGTCTGGAGCTGTGTTGATGTGGCTGCTGCTGCACTGGGGAGTGAGGTGCTCTTGACCAGCCAACTCGGTAGGGGGCGGGACTCCCACCTATTACTGCCCTCCTCTGGCTCGGTGGAACGCATAGCCCCAGCTTCACCTTCCCCACTGCAGCTGGCATCCCCACAGCAGCTGCTCCAAATAGGCCACCGCCACCATCAGTACCCTGGGCTTTGGAAAGATAGTGGCTGCTACTTGTACAAACTTCTCAAAATAGACTCTTCACTCTAGTTATTGCTTATGAATTTGTGAGTAGACATTTGTGTGTGTGGCAAATTTGAGGAAAGACATTGGGTCATATGAATTCATCATAGTGGGACATAAGTCAGAACTGAGTTTCACAATTTCCCAGGGTTATGCAACAAGAGTCAGACTAGCTCAGAGTCTTTGAAATATTGTAGACAACTCAAATATTGTGTGCATTTTTCTCAGAAAAAGTTACAGTATTTAAATTTTTATTGTATTATAACTTCGTCTAAAGTCTGCTCTTAGACTGAAGAGCAGATAGCAGATTCAGTTCCCCTTTACATTTATCCATAAGGATGGTTTGTCTGTGCTGAACGGGGGAATGGGACATCAACCACTGCTTATAACCCTGCTTATAACTTTTTAATGTTATTGCTGGGAAATTTCATTCCTGCTTGCTCATGACTTAAAAAAAAATTCTATTTATACATTTAGAATTACCATGACAAAAATAGGCCCCCTCCCCTAAAAAAAACCCATAAGTATTCATAATAATATTTAAAGGAGATAAATTACCCAAGACTGACTCTGAAGAATAACCCAGGGAGGTGATGATTAAAATACTTCGGCCTTGTGAAAGGAGCATATCTTTGGACCAGATTAATATCCTTTTGGCATTTATGCAGAACAGGGAGTTGATCTCTGTAGATTCTAATTTACAACAATGTCAACATTTAAAATAGACTACTAATAAAGACACCAAGAACAAACATGCCTCTAACCTGAGGTACATCAAATAACCCTTCTTTGGTGTTTTGACATTAAATGCGAATAAATAGAAAAAGGGAACCAATATTATGAACACATTTAAACTATGTTTAATAATAATTGTATGAGCAGCTCACATCATTAGCTTTTTTTTTTACTTTGTGCTGTTAGTGAGGTATAACTGACACATGTATTTAAAATATACAGTTTGATGAGTTTACACACACACATGCATCCATGAAACTTTTGCAGGACTTTTCCTTAGTTCAGTTAAAGACGGGGTTCTTTGTCCTATGGCCTTGAAAATTCAGGCTTGCAGACCATTGAGTAAGATGGGGTTTTATTGGGTAAAAAGAGAGAAAGGGGGGAAACAGACTCTCGCTAGACCAGAGTCCCTGCTAGAGCACTTCCCACCCACCGTTCGAATCCCAGGTTCCATACAGGAAGAGGAGGGACAGGGCTCCTCCCCGCTGCAAAGGGCATGAACTTCCCGAGGCTCCACCTCAGTGGGTAGGCTGGTTGGAGTTTCTCCAGGGACCCCCACCCACCTGGCTGTCTCAAAACCATCACCACAGTCAAGATAATAAACATATCCAACAGTCCCAAAAGTTTCCTCATGGCCCTTTGTAATCCCTCCCTATATACCCCTTCTCATCCACCTAGGCAATTGTTGATCATCTTTCTGTCACTATGGACTAGCTGGCATTGTTTGGGATTTAAAAATTTATTTTTGTAGAGAAAGGGTTTTACTTTGTCATCCAAGCTGGAGTGCAGTGGTGCCATCACAACTCACTGCAGTGTTGACTTCCTGGGCTCAAGTGACCCTCTCACCTCAGCTTCTTGAGTAGCTGGGACCACAGGCATGCACCATCATGCCTGGCTAATTTTTAAAGAGACAGGGTCTCGCTATGTTGTTGAGGCTAGTCTCAAACTCCTGGCCTCTAGTGATCCTCCCATCTTGGCCTCCCAAAGTGTTGGGAATATAGGCATGAGCCACTGTGCCCATCCTTGAATTTCATACAGATTTATTTTTTTGGTTTAGTTTCTTTTTCTCAGCATGGTTATACTGAGGGTCATTCATGTTACTGTATGCATCATTAGTTCAGACGTTTTCATTGCTGAGCAGGATTCACACATGATTAGCTTTTTTTTTTTTTTTGAGACAGAGCCTCACTCTCTCACCCAGGCTGAAGTGTAGTCACCCGATCTCAGCTCACCACAACCTCTGCTTGCCAGGCTCAAGCAATTCTCCTGCCTCAGCCTCCCGAATAGCTGGGATTACAGGTGTGTGCCACTACCGCCCAGCTAATTTTTGCCTTTTTAGTAGAGATAGGGTTTCACCATGTTGGCCAGGCTGGTCTCGAACTCCTGACCTGAAATGATGCATCTGCCTCGGCCTCCCAAAGTGTTGGGATTACAGGCGTGAGCCTCCATGCACCACCCCCCCCGCCACATGATTAACTTTTGATAGCTTGAAACTTTTAGAATTTGCCCAACTCCAGGCAATCAAAAATAATGAACCAGTCTACCTCTAGTGCTGACCATCAACCTGGACATAGTGCACCGTTAACATGTTAACATGAGACTTAAATGCAAATTGTTTTCCTTATCGTTCTTTGCCTCTAGGATGCAAAATATTAACTAGAACTGCAGGAATAATGGATAAAATGGTAAAAATCACCTTTGCCTTCCAAACTAGCCAAAGGGAAATGAAGACACGAGCTAGTCTCAAATATTATATCAATTCTTACAAAATCCTATTTAATTCAATTTTTGTGTTGCGAATTGAAAAGATTCTTGAGAAAAATATTGTTCAACATTTAAAGGATAATTTGGGGCCAGGTGTGGTGGCTCACTCCTGTAATCCCAGCACTTTGGGAGGCCGAGGCTGGTGGATCACGGGTCAGGAGATTGAGACCATCCTGGCTAACACGGTGAAACCCTGTCTCCACTAAAAATACAAAAAATTAGCCAGGCATGGTGGCGGGTGCCTGTAGTCCCAGCTGCTGGGGAGGCTGAGGCAGGAGAATGGTGTGAACCCGGGAGGCGGAGCTTGCAGTGAGCCAAGATCGTGCCACTGCACTCCAACCTGGGCGACAGAGCGAGACTCCCTCTCAAAAAACAAACAAAAAAACTAAAATTTGGGGCTGGAAACTTCACAAATGTAATGAAAGGAAGATTGGGCCCTTGTACACAAGTAAACAAATTTAGGAAATTTCTTAGGGAATTAGCACTCATATAGACTGGGGGATTTGGTGAGTATAATTTATTTAGATGTTACCTTTTAAGAACAGCATTTTTACATTATAGAAGCAATAATGTTCAAACAGAAACTTAAATATGAACATAGCAGCACTATTTACAATAGATATAAATGGAAACAGTCCATATGTTCACCAGCTGATAAATGGATAAACAAAATTTGTATATCCATACAATGTACTATTATTCAGTCATAAAAAGGAATGAAGTATTGGCCAGATGCTACAACATGAGAGAACCTTGAAAACATTATGCTAAGTGAAAAGCTGGACACAACAGGTCACATGTTGTGTTATTTCATTTATACAAAATACCCAGAACAGGCAAATCCATAGAGACAGAAACCAAATTAGTGGTTGCCAGGGACTGGATAGGATAATGGGAGTGACTGATGGATACAGGGTTCCCTTTTGTTGCAATGAAAATGTTCTGGAACTAGATGGTTGCGATGATGGCACATTGTGAATGTACTAAATGCCATGAAATTTTACACTTTAAAATGCTGAAAATGGTAAATTTTGTTACGTGTACTTTACCACAATGAAAAGCAATATATACCATGTAAAAATTTAGAAGGTATAGACAAGCTCAAAGGAAAATAAAAATAAATGTGCCTATCTATCAATCGTCTATCGTATATCTAGTTATGTCTCAGTAAAGACAGAATGTTGCTGTATGTATAATCTGTAGCCTAGTTTTTCTCTTAATATCGTAAATTCACATCATCTAATATTCTTTACAGTATTTTTAATGACTACAATATTCCATCGAATTAAGGAAAAATAATTTCTTAGGCCAGTCTCCTATTATTGAGCATTTAGTTTATATATATTATGAATAATATTGAAATATTCTTGTAGGTAAGTATTTGCCCACATTTGTGATTATTTTCTCAGAACAAATTCTGGGATGTTGAATTGCCCAGGTAAAGAATGTAAACATTTAAAAAATTGATAGACTTTTAAAAAACATTTCTAGAGTTACAGAAGAATTGAATAGAAGGTTTCTGTATACCATCCCCACCTTCGGTTGCCCCTATTATTAACACCATACATTACTATGGTACATTTGTTACCATATGTAACAGATTAACAAATTGATATTGATTCATAATTTTTAACTAAAGTTCACACTTATTCAAATTACCTTATGTATTAGGGTTCTCTAGAGGAACAGAATTAATGGAATATATATTATATACTATAATATGTATAATATATATAAATATATAAATTATATATAATATATATTATATATATTATATAAATTATATATAATATGTAATATAAATTTTGTAATATAAATTATATATATAAATTATATATAATATATATTAATATATATAATATAAATTAATATATATAATATATAATTATATATAATTTATATGATATATATAAATATATATTATATATAAATTATATATATCATAAATTATATATCATATAAATTATATATAATATACATTATGTACATAATATATGATATATAATATATAATATATATTATATATAATTATATATATATAATTATATAATATATATAAATTATAATATATAATATATATAAATTATAATATATAATATATATAAATTATAATATATAATATATATAAATTATAATATATATAAATATATATTAAATAACTTGGAGTCCAATGTTTGAGGGCAGGAAGCATCCAGCGTGGGAGAAAGATGTAGGCTGGGCGGCTAGGTCAGTTTCTCTTTTCCCATTTTTCTGCCTGCTTATATTCTAGCTGGGCTGGCAGCTGATTAGGTGGTGCCCACTCAGATTAAGGGTGGGTCTACCTTTCCCAGCTCAGGGACTCAAATGTTAATCTCCTTGGCAACATCCTCACAGACACACCCAGGATTAATAATTTGTACACTTCAATCCAGTCAAGTTGACACTCAGTATTAACCATCACACCTTAGTTTTTATCTAATGTCCATTTTTTGTAGTTGTTCAAGGATCCCATCGAGGATACCACATTATATATATATGAAGTAATGGATACATTAATTAACGTGTATATACTTTAGCTAATTATAATATATATAATTAATAACTATATATTATACATATATGCATATATATAATACAATATACACATATACATATCTATCTATATATTTTTTTGAGACAGGGTCTTGCTCTGTCGCCCAGGCTGGAGTGCAGTGGCGCCATCTCAGCTCACCACAGCCTCCACCTCCTGGGCTCAGATAATCCTCCTGCCTCAGCCTTTTAAATAGCTGGGACTACAGGTGTGCACCACCATGCCTGGTTAATTTTTGTACTTTTTGTAGAGACAGGGTTTTGCCATGTTTCCCAGGCTGGTCTCAAACTCCTGGGCTTAAGCCATCCTCCTGCCTCAGCCTCCCAAAGTACTGGGACTATAGGCATGCACCACCATGCCCGGGCCCATGTTATATTTAGCTGTCATGTCTCAGCCTCCCCTTGGCTGTGACAGTTTGTAGACTTTCTTTGTTTTTGGTTCCTTGACAGTTTTGAGGAATACTGGTTTAGGTATTTTATAGAATGTTCCTCAGTTAGAATTTGTCTGATATTCTCATGACTAGATTGGGATTCTGGGTTTAGGGGAAGATCACAGAGGTAGTATGCCATTTTCATCACATCATATCAAGGGTACATACTATCAATGTGATCTGTGACTGTTGATGTTGACCTTGATCCCTGGCTGTGCAGCATTTGTCCCGGTGCTCCCCTGTGAACTTCCTCCTCCCCGTCTCCACACTATACTCTTTGGAAGTAAGTAGCTACTTCTGATATGTGTATAATTGTGAAATGGTTAAATCAAGCTAATTAACATATTCATTACTTCACATATTTCTTGTGATGAGAACATTTAAGATCTACGCTCTTAGCAATTTTGAACTATACAGTACATTATTATTAACTATAGTCAGCAGGTTGTACAATAGATTTACTGAACTTATTTATCCTAAGTGAAACTTTGTACCCTTTGACCAATGTCTCCCCATTGTTCCCCTGGCAACCACCATTCTACTCCCTGCTTCTATGAGTTTGACTTTTTTTTTTTTTGAGATGGAGTTTCACTCTAGTCTGTCACGCAGGCTGGAGTGCAACAATGTGATCTTGGCTCACTGCAACCTCCACCTCCCAGGTTCAAGTGATTCTCCTGCCTCAGCCTCCCGAGTAGCTGGGATTACAGGCATGCACCACTGTGATCAGCTAATTTTTGTATTTTTAGTAGAGACAAGGTTTCACCATGTTGGCCAGGCTGGTCTCGAACTCCTGACCTTAGGTGATCCACCTGCCTCAGCCTCCCAGAGTGCTCGGATTACAGGAGTGAGCCACCGCACCTGGTCTATGAGTTTGACACATTTTAGATTCCACATATAAGTGAGATCACACAGTATGTGTCTTTCTGTTCCTGGCTTGTTTTACTTAGGTTGATGTCTTCCAGGTTCATCCATGTTGTCGTAAATTACAGGATTTCCTTTTTTTTTTAAAGGTGAAAATAATATTTCAGTGTGCATATTTACCACATTTTCTTTTTCTATTCATCTATTGTTGGACAGTTAGGTTGATTCTGTATCTTGGCTATTGTGAAGAATTCTGCAATGAATAGGCATACTGATTTTTTTCTTTCTTTTTTTTCTTTTAGCAATGGACTCAGGCTGGTCTCCAACTCCTGACCTTAGGTGATCCGCGTCGGCCTCCCAAAGTTCTTGGATTACAGGCGTGAGCCACCGCACCCAGCCAGGCAGACTGATTTCAATTCTTTTGGTTATACACCCAGTAGAGAGATGGCGGGATCACATGGTAGTCCTCTTTTTAATTTTTTTGAGAAAACTTCATACTGTTTTCTATAATGGCTGTACTAATTTACATTTCCATTAGCAGTGTGCCAGGGTTCCCTTTTCCCCACATCCTCACCAACACTTGTTTTCTTTTGTCTTAATAAAAGCCATTCTGACAGGTGGGCGGTGATACCTCATTGTGGTTTTGATTTGCAGTTCCTTGATGATTAGTGATATTGAACATCTTTTCATTTACCTGCTGGCCATTTGTATGTCTTCCTTTGAGAAATGTCTATTCCTGAATAGCTTTTGCCCATTTTTTAACAGAGTCTTTTAAAATATTGAGTTGTTTTAGGTCCTCATGTATTTTAGATATTCCTTATCAGATGTATGGTTTGCAAATACAATATTTCCTCTCATTCTGTAGGTTGTCTCTTTACTCTGTTAATTTTTCCCTTTGCTGGACAAAAGCTTAGTTTGATGCAACCCATTCGTCTATTTTTACTTTGGTCACTTGTGGTTTTTGAGTCATATTTTAAAAATCATTGCCCAGGCCAATGTTATGAAGCTTTCTCCTATTTCCTTCTACTAGTTTTACAGCTTCAGACCTTATGTTTAAGTCTTTAATCCATTCTGAGTTGATTTTTATCTATGATGTGAGATAAAGGTCCAATTTCATCCTTCTGCATGTGGACATCCAGCTTTCTCAATATCATCTATCGAAGAAATTGTCTTTTCCACATGTATGTTCTTAGTACCTCTGCTGAAAATCAATTGATGTTAATAAATTCAGTCAAGTTGCAGGATGCAAAATCAACATACAAAAATCAATAGGATTTCTATATACTAACAATGAACTATCAGAAAAAGAAATAAAACAATTCTACTTACAATGGCTTCAAAAAAAGTAAAATACTTTGGAATAAATTTAACCAAGGAGATGAAAGATCTGTGCACTGCAAACTTTAAAACCTTGATGAAAGAAATTGAAGACACAGATAAATGGAAGGATATTCTGTGTTCATGGATTGGAACAATTAATATTGTTAAAATGTCCATATTACCGAAAGTCATCTACAGATTCAATGCAATATCTATCAAAATTCTAATGTCATTCTTCACAGAAATAGAAAAAATAGTCCTAAAATTCATATGGATCCACCAAAAGCGCTGAATACCTAAGGCAATTGAGTAAAAGGAACAAAGCTGGAGGTATCACACACTATCTGATTTCAAAATGTACTGTAAAGCTAAAGTAATTAAAACAGCAAGGTCCTGGCATAAAAATACACAGACTAATGGAACAGAATAGAGAGCTCAGAAATAAATACCCTGATAAATTTATCTTCAGAAAGTTATTATTTTCTAAAGTTGAGTACTCATAATATGAGAGAACATGACTTGACTAGACTGAGTTTTATCTCTGAACCAGGAAACAGTGGACACATTTCAAGATGGGTAACTGTAAATTATGGCCTCTCTTAAGGATTTCTGGAGCTGGTTTTAATGTTTCAAAGAATCTCAAAATGCGCTAAGAGCAGAGGGGCAAGTGTGTAATCCCAGCCTTTTGGGAGGCTGAGGTGGGAGAATCACCTGAGCCCAGGAGTTCGAGACCAGCCTGGGCAACATGGCAAGAGCCCATCTCTACAAAAATTTAAAAAATTAGCTGAATGTGGTGGTGCACACCTGTAGACCCAGCTACTTAAAGGGCTGAGGTGGGAGGATCATGTGAGGCTGGGAGGTTGAGGCTGCAGTGAGTCATGATTACACCACTGTACTTCAGCTTTGGTGACATAGTGAGACCCTGTCTCAAAAATAAAACAAAAGGTGTGATTGTTAAATAAAAAGACTAATTTTCTCACAATCTGCGTTAGTTTACTAGGGATACCATAACAAAGTACTACAAACTGGGTAGTGTAGGCAACAGAAATTTCTTTCTTCCCAGTTCTGGAAGCTGGAAGTCCAAGGTGTCAGCAGGGTTGATTTCTTCTGAGGGCCTTTTTCCTTCCTTCCTTCCTTTTTCCCTCCCTCCCTTCCTTCCTTCCTTCCGAGACAGAGTCTCACTTTGTCACCCAGGCTGGAGTACAGTGGTGCAATCTCGGCTCACTGCAACCTCTGCCTCCCAAGTTCAAGGAATTCTCCAGTCTCAGCCTCCCGAGTGGCTGGGATTACAGGCGTCCGCCACCATGCCAGGCTAATTTTTTGTATTTTTAGTAGAGATGAGGTTTCATCATATTGGCCAGGCTGGTCTCTAACTCCTGACCTCAAGTGATCCGTCCACCACGGTCTCCCAAAGTGCTGGGATTACAGGCATGAGTCACCACATCCGGCCCCATGTCATCTTGATATAGCAAAAGAGGACTGGAGACTGCTGCCCATAGGTCTCAGTGGCACAGGAGGGCACCCACAGTGTCCCAAAACCTTCCTTGTGGAATGTGATTTAGCAGAGAAAGAAAGAGCCACTGGGAACCCAGGATAAGATGAGAACTGGGTCGGGACTGAGCTGCACTCTCAATGGAGAAAACAAATGAGAGCCCCTTTGTGTTCCGTGGGCCACCCAGGTCCTCTTTCAAGGGAGTGCCTAAACTCTGTGATGCCCAGAGGCACACAGGACTCATTAAGACCAAGAAGTGGACTTTTTGGATAAGCCATTGAGAGCTTAAATTCAATTCCAGAGTGGAGGGAGAGGGGGGGAATAAAAGGGAGAGAAAGAGTTTTAAACTGAATTGTGACTGCATTGTAAACTGGAATTGACTAAGAAATGACCGAATTTGAATGAGTTTATCTGAAAGTGACTAGATTAAATTTTCTCTGAGGCAGAATGGAGGCTCAAGGCAGAAATTACACTCAATTATAAAAGAATAGAGAAAATTATATTTTTGCACACTCAAGTCAGTGACTGTGAAATTTGTACTGGCTCCAATAATTACAAGCGGCCAGGTGTCAGTCAAATCTCTAGAATAGACCAAGGGATCATTATGTGCTGTTCTTCCAAGTTATTACCTGATCTGTGGCTGTACCTCAAAAGGTCAACACAATGTCTTATCAGAAATCATGATGAAACCCATTCACATTTCTCTTCGCAATGTTCTCTTGCTGTCAGAAAGTGGAACCAAGCCTTGTGAGGTGGAAAAGGTACATTTTTCAGAGTTCTGAGGAGGCGTAGGCCGGGTTATAAACCTATGACCAAAAGAGGGAAAGTAAGAAATTGCAGGTAGTGCTGGATATCTTCTGCCTGCCCCTGCAGACCACTGTCCCCACCTCCCCACACTTCTTCTGGGAGGCATATCCCTGTTCATGGCATTGCTGGGGCTCCTGCTCTTGAGAGGCATTGGCAAGAAATCAGAGGAAGAGAGTGAGTTTGTTGGCAGTGGAAGGTATCCAAGTTACTGGTGGCAAATCTGTACCGGTCTGCAGCAACCTTAGTTCTTGCCTCCTCAGAAAAAAGAACTCGACTGAGGGGCATAAGGTAGAAAAAGACACCAAGGCAAGTTTTAGGGCAGAGTGAAAGTTTATTAAAAAGCTTTAGAGCGGGCTGGGCGCTGTGGCTCACGCCTGTAATCCCAGCCGTTTGGGAGGCCGAGGCGGGAGGATCACGAGGGCAGGAGATCGAGACCATACTGGCTAACACGGTGAAACTTCGTCTCTACTAAAACTACAAAAAATCAGCTGGGCACCTATTCCCAGCTACTCTAGAGGCTGAGGCAGGAGAATCACTTAAACCTGGGAGGTGGAGGCTGCAGTGAGCTGAGATCGTGCCACTGCATTCCAGCTTGGGTGACAGAGTGAGACTCCATCTCAAAAACAAAAAGCTCTAGACAGGAATGAAAAGAAAGTATTCTAGCAAGACTAATAAAGAAAAAAAGAGAGAAGAATCAAATAGACACAATAAAAAATGATAAAGGGGGTATCACCACCGATCCCACAGAAATACAAACTACCATCAGAGAATACTACAAACACCTCTACGCAAATAAACTAGAAAATCTAGAAAAATGGATAAATTCCTCGACACATACACTCTCCCAAGACTAAACCAGGAAGAAATTGAATCTCTGAATAGACCAATAACAGGAGCTGAAATTGTGGCAATAATCAATAGTTTACCAACCAAAAAGAGTCCAGGACCAGATGGATTCACAGCCGAATTCTATCAGAGGTACAAGGAGGAACTGGTACCATTCCTTCTGAAACTATTCCAATCAATAGAAAAAGAGGGAATCCTCCCTAACTCATTTTATGAGGCCAGCATCATTCTGATACCAAAGCCGGGCAGAGACACAACCAAAAAAGAGAATTTTAGACCAATATCCTTGATGAACATTGAGGCAAAAATCCTCAATAAAATACTGGCAAAACGAATCCAGCAGCACATCAAAAAGCTTATCCACCATGATCAAGTGGGCTTCATCCCTGGGATGCAAGGCTGGTTCAATATATGCAAATCAATAAATGTAATCCAGCATATAAACAGAGCCAAAGACAAAAACCACATGATTATCTCAATAGATGCAGAAAAAGCCTTTGAGAAAGTTCAACAACCCTTCATGCTAAAAACTCTCAATAAATTAGGTATTGATGGGACATATTTCAAAATAATAAGAGCTATCTATGACAAACCCACAGCCAATATACTGAATGGGCAAAAACTGGAAGCATTCCCTTTGAAAACTGGCACAAGACAGGGATGCCCTCTCTCACCACTCCTATTCAACATAGTGTTGGAAGTTCTGGCCAGGGCAATCAGGCAGGAGAAGGAAATAAAGTGTATTCAATTAGGAAAAGAGGAAGTCAAATTGTCCCTGTTTGCAGACGACATGATTGTATATCTAGAAAACCCCATTGTCTCAGCCCAAAATCTCATTAAGCTGATAAGCAACTTCAGCAAAGTCTCAGGATACAAAATCAATGTACAAAAATCACAAGCATTCTTATACACCAATAACAGACAAACAGAGAGCCAAATCATGAGTGAACTCCCATTCACAATTGCTTCAAAGAGAATAAAATACCTAGGAATCCAACTTGCAAGGGATGTGAAGGACCTCTTCAAGGAGAACTACAAACCACTGCTCAAGGAAATAAAAGAGGATACAAACAAATGGAAGAACATTCCATGCTCATGGGTAGGAAGAATCAATATCGTGAAAATGGCCATACTGCCCAAGGTAATTTACAGATTCAATGCCATCCCCATAAAGCTACCAATGACTTTCTTCACAGAATTGGAAAAAACTACTTTAAAGTTCATATGGAACCAAAAAAGAGCCCGCATTGCCAAGGCAATCCTAAGCCAAAAGAACAAAGCTGGAGGCATCACACTACCTGACTTCAAACTATACTACAAGGCTACAGTAACCAAAACAGCATGGTACTGGTACCAAAACAGAGATATAGATCAATGGAACAGAACAGAGCCCTCAGAAATAATGCCGCATATCTACAACTATCTGATCTTTGACAAACCTGAGAAAAACAAGCAATGGGGAAAGGATTCCCTATTTAATAAATGGTGCTGGGAAAACTGGCTAGCCATATGTAGAAAGCTGAAACTGGATCCCTTCCTTACACCTTATACAAAAATCAATTCAAGATGGATTAAAGACTTAAATGTTAGACCTAAAACCATAAAAACCCTAGAAGAAAACCTAGGCATTACCATTCAGGTCATAGGCATGGGCAAGGACTTCATGTCCAAAACACCAAAAGCAATGGCAACAAAAGACAAAATTGACAAATGGGATCTAATTAAACTAAAGAGCTTCTGCACAGCAAAAGAAACTACCATCAGAGTGAACAGGCAACCTACAAAATGGGAGAAAATTTTCGCAACCTACTCATCTGACAAAGGGCTAATATCCAGAATCTACAATGAACTCAAACAAATTTACAAGAAAAAAACCACCCCATCAAAAAGTGGGCGAAGGACATGAACAGACATTTCTCAAAAGAAGACATTTATGCAGCCAAAAAACACATGAAAAAATGCTCATCATCACTGGCCATCAGAGAAATGCAAATCAAAACCACAATGAGATACCATCTCACACCAGTTAGAATGGCAATCATTAAAAAGTCAGGAAACAACAGGTGCTGGAGAGGATGTGGAGAAATAGGAACACTTTTACACTGTTGGTGGGACTGTAAACTAGTTCAACCATTGTGGAAGTCAGTGTGGCGATTCCTCAGGGATCTAGAACTAGAAATACCATTTGACCCAGCCATCCCAGTACTGGGTATATACCCAAAGGACTATAAATCATGCTGCTATAAAGACACATGCACACGTATGTTTATTGCGGCATTATTCACAATAGCAAAGACTTGGAACCAACCCAAATGTCCAACGATGATAGACTGGATTAAGAAAATGTGGCACATATACACCATGGAATACTATGCAGCCATAAAAAATGATGAGTTCATATCCTTTGTGGGGACATGGATGAAATTGGAAATCATCATTCTCAGTAAACTATCGCAAGAACGAAAAACCAAACACCGCATATTCTCACTCATAGGTGGGAATTGAACAATGAGATCACATGGACACAGGAAGGGGAATATCACACTCTGGGGTCTGTTGTGGGGTGGGGGGAGGGAGGAGGGATAGCATTGGGAGATATACCTAATGCTAGATGACGAGTTAGTGGGTGTGGCGCACCAACATGGCACATGTATACATATGTAACTAACCTGCACAATGTGCACATGTACCCTAAAACTTAAAGTATAATAATAATAATAAAAAAAGTATTCTTGGAGGAGGGCCAAGTGGGCATCTTGGAGGACAGTGTCTCCTTTGATCTTGGACTAAGGGTTTTATATGTTGGCATACTTCCAGCATCTTGCGTCCCTTTTCCCTTGACTCTTCCTTTGGGGTGAGCTGCCTGTACGTGTGGTGTCCTGCTAGCACTTGGGAGGTGGGCATATGCGGTGTTTACCGGAGTTGTATGCATGCTCACTTGAGGCATTCTTCCCTCTACCTGCAGGATGTCCCTGGAAAGTCTTATTTTGGTTAAACGCTGCCCTTTTGCCTCTTATTGCACATGTTGGAGCTCACTCGCCCATCTCCTGAGATCTTATCAGGAAGCAGCTGATCACCAGTTTCAGGTTTTTTCTATCTGTGGGGAGAGTTCCTTTCCCTGGTGCTGGCTGCGACTAATTATTATTTTAGACAGTTAACAACTGCTTGACCATCACCTGATGGTTGCCTGACATTCTTGGTCAGGTGGAGGCCTCTTCTGCCTTGCTCATGCCTGACCAGCTACCTACTGTAACAAGTCAGGATACTGATTTCTCTGTCCTCCCTGCCAGTCCCCATGGGCTGGCTGCAGCCCTCTCCGGAGGACCACAGCCCCTATCAGGCAACCCCATTCCACACAGTCACCCTCTCTCGGCTCCAAAAATCACTCTCTCTCCTTGCTTTCAGGCTAGGGTAGTAACATACTTTTAATACTGCCCCAAAGTACTGCCCTTTTTCTGAGGGTTTCCCTAAACTTTGCCCACACCCTTGAAAATCATACTTTTATTAAACACTTTACTAATAAACTGCTGCATCTCCTATAGTGTTCTTGGCTGATGCTTTGGAGATGGTTATATGCTGTATAGCAAAGCTCTATGCCATCTGCATGAACATAGGGAGTGGGCCATGTGAACGTGTGTGCTCCAAACAGCACGTTTTCTTCACACAGCTGAGTCAAGAGCCCTGAGTGAGCAAGACTAGTGATTTCTCAGGTGACATGCTTGCTTACTGTAGTACAGGTTCCAGAGTCTTTTGTACATGATTCTGGTTGTACTTCGAGATCTTTCAGCTCTTTAGGATCTTCAGTATAAATAGTAATTATTGCAATAGATGTGAAAAAAAAATGATAGCTTATAGAAAATTCTGGGTACTAAGGGGTTGGCTATTCCTTTTAAAGCCAGGAGTGAACATTTCTAGGTTAAGGATTTCTATTAGGAAGACAATGACTGAGAATTCACGTTCATATTGAAAGAGGGCAGGGAGAAGTCACTCATCATAGGCAGCTTCTATTCTGTCAGCAGTGGTATTTCAATAGAGACTGTGATCTCCCCAGCTCCTAGCCAATGGTTTCCTGTTTGAAGAAAGTCCCAGAGGCTCCAAGGCTCCCCTCGCCTGGATGTGCTCCACAGAGTGATACCTCCTCAATTTCTTAAATGTTCTTTATGCCATTAACACAATATTTTTATTTTTAAATAGATATATGACCTTGTCAGGAGTTCAAGACCAGCGTGGCCAACATGGTGAAACCCCGTCTCTACTAAAAATACAAAAAATTAGCCAGGCATGGTGGTGCATGCCTGTAGTCCCAGCTACTCGGGAGGCTGAGGCAGGAGAATTGCTTGAACCAGGGAGGCGGAGGTTGCAGTGAGCTGAGATCGTGCCACTGCATTCCAGCCTGGGTAACAGAGCAAGACTCCGTCTCAAAAAAAAGAGAGAAACAAAAGACAGATATATGACCCTAATAACTGGAATTTTCTTTCTTTCTTTCTTTTTTTTTTTTTAGCAGAAGCAGCTTCCTCCTAGAAACTACACAGTAGTGGTTTGGTCAAAAGGGCTTGGAATTTATTAAGAGCTAGAACCATGCACCATGTTTTGTGTGTCATGCTCACTTTTTTAGTAGGGAGACCAGAAAAATGCCACCATGGGGTATTTTCAGCTAAAATGAATGAAGTTAGACGTTATCTTTCCAAAGACTTGCCACAAACCATGAAGCTCTGGGCCTGGCACTGGACAGCAGTTCTTTCCTTGGGTGTGAAGCGATGGCTGATCTGTTTGCAGAAAAGAAAATCAACAAAGACCAGCAATTTGTACTGACCTCCTCTGTTCTTTAGAGCGTGTCAGAGAGCACGATTTCAAAACACACTGGGACCGCAGGTCTCTCATTAGTCAAAGACACCCCTGCAACCTTGCCCTGGGTGATGTGGCAATTTGGGCAAAGATGGGAAGTGTTTTGCCCTCCTAAGCTGAGCCTCTGGTAGTGACCACTCCCGGCACCCAAAGATACTTTGTGACCTCCGATGGGCTGATTGCTCCCTCCCTCTGTTCCTACCATTCCGGATTCTACCATATGAGATAAAGTTTGTGTCTCATAGACTCCACGACATCAGTGAAGCTTGTGTTTTAGAGATGCAATATCCAATTCTGGAAACAGCCTTTTCTTGGCCCACTTCAAGAAGTTGGACTAAGCTTCAGGAAAACTGATATAGAAGGAGCCCCAGATGGGGATGCAGGGTGACCCAGGTCCTTGACGACTTGACAGTGACTCTGAGTCTCCTCAAACTTCCTGGGCTACTTTGCTGTGAAGTGAAAGTCCAGGCCCCATTTATGTTTCTTCTTCCTCTGCTATTGCTGCTGGCAGCCGATGAGGTAGGTGAAGGGTCATAATTAATAGTGTTCGGCCTTTTAAATCTGGTCTCCATAGCACCTCCACAATGCCATTATTGTGTTCGTGCTGCCTGTGGGGACGCTGGCTGGTGCTCTCAAAGGAGGACTCTAAGGGAGGCCTGCTGAAGCCTGCCACCACCACCAGGTTTTCTGTAATTGGATCTGCACAGGGGCCTCAGGGAGTGCAGTATGAAAACACCCATTTCCATGCACTCCCAACCAACACGCTGAACAATCTGTACTCTTGGTGAGAAAGACCCATGAGGGACTGAAAATTCTTTTTCTACGTGACACTGAGAAGACAGTCACATGGTTTGGGTAAGTCTCACTAGAAAACCAATCTCCTGTCCATACAGCCCTCTGATGAAACTCATTTCTGCTAAGGCAGAGGTGAGTATCCTGAACACAGCGTAGCATTATTTTAGACAGATGAGTGTGGGTTTCAGTAACTGGATATATAATGAGGCAACTTTGACATATTTTACAGGAATGCAACCTTTTGTACGTAATGGAATGATCAGAAAGTCAGTTCAGCACTCCAAACTTAAAAGGAGTATTAAAAATGCTTCACAATTGACTTTTTTTCTTCTTACGATCAATGAATAGATAATGCTACATTATTATGAACTAAAGCCTGTGGTTTACATTAGGATTCACTTTTGTGTTTTACATTCGGTGGGTTTTGACAAATGCATAATGTCGTATGTCCACCCTTACGGTATCATGCAGAATAGTTTCACTGCCTTTAAAAGTCTCCTGTGCTCCATCTGGTCATCCTTCCCGCTCTCTTTCCCAGCCCTGACAACCACTGATCATTTTACGGTCTCCATTGTTTCACACAGCTTTTTCAGCCTAGCTTCTTCACTTAACAATATGCACTTAAGTTTTCTCCGTTTGTTCATGGCCTGATAGCTCATTACTTTGTATCACTGAATAATATTCCCTTGTATAGAGGTACTACGGTTTGTTTATCCATTCACTTACTGAGGAATGTCTTGGTTGTTTCCAGTTTTGTCAATTATGAAAAAAGCTCCTACTAACATTCACGTATCGGTTCTCGTGTGGACATAAGTTTTCATATCACTTGGGTAAATGCCTAGGAGCATGATTGTTAGATCATATGGTAAGACTATGCTTAGCTTTGTAAGAACTGCCAAGTGATGTTCCACAGAGGACTTATAATTTTGCATTCCCACCAGCAATGAGTGAAAGTTCCTGTGTTCCACATCCTCACCAGCATTTGGTGGTGTTGCTGTTTAGGATTTTAGCCATTCTAATAGGCGTGTAGTGGCATCTCATGGTTGTTTTAATCTGCAGCTCCCTAATGACATATGATGTTAGCATCTTTTCACATGCTTATTTGCTATTTGTATATCTTCTTTGGTGAGGTGTCTGTTCAGATCTTTTGCCCATTTAAACAATTGAATTTTCTTTTTATTAAATTTTAAGCCTTGTATATTTTGGATAACAGTCTTTACCAGACATGTGTTTTGCAAAGATTTTCTCCTAGTCTGTGGCTTGTCTTTTCATTGTCTTAACAGGATTTTTCACAGAACAGAATTGAAAAAATATAATGAAGTTCAACTTGTCAGTTTTTTCTTTCATTAATTATGCCTTTGGTGTTGTATCTAAAAAGTCATCAGCAAACCCAAGGTCACTTAGATTTTCTCCTATGTTATCTTCTAGATAGATGTTTTATAGTTTTGAATTTTACGTTTATGTCCACGATCCATTTTGAGTTAATTTTTGTAAAAGGTGTAAGATCTGTGTCTGGATTCATTTATTCGTATGTGGTTGTCCAGTTGTTCTAGGGCCATTTATTTAAAAGACTATCCTTTTTTTCCATTGAATTGTCTTTGCTCCTGTGTTATCAGTGGACTATATTTGAGTGAGTATATTTCTGAGCCCTTTATTAGATTCCATTGATTTATTTGTGTATTCTTCTGCCAATTCCACAGTCTTGATGGCTGTAGCTTTGTAGTATATCTTTAAGCCTGTAGTGTCAATCCTCTGACTTTGTTCTTTAAGATTGTGTTAGCTATTTGGGGTCTTTCGCCTTTCCACAGAAACTTCAGAATCAGTTTGTCAACATGTACAAAATAATTTGCTGGAATTTTGATTGGGATTGTGCTAAATCTACAGATCACGCTGGGAAGAACTGTCATTTTGACATTATTGAGTCTTCTGATCCACAAACATGAAATATCTCTCCATTTATTTAGATTTATTTTATCAGAATTTTATCATTTTCCTTATATACATTTTGTACATATTTTGTTAGATTTATACATAACTCTTTCTCTCTCTCTTTTTGATGCTAATGTAAATGGTATTGTGTTTTAAATTTCAAATTCCCATTGTTAACTGCTGGTATATACGAAAGCAATTGACTTAAAATTTTATTTTATTTTATTTCAAATTTTAATCTGTTTATTTATTTTGAGACAAGTTATGTTACTGGCTAATTTTTGTATTTTTTTGTAGAGACAGGGTTTTCGCCGTGTTGCCCAGGCTGGTCTCAAACTCCTGAGCTCAAGTGATCCGCCCACCGTGGCCTCCCAAAATTCTGGGATTACAGGCATGAGCCACCATGCCTGGCCACAACTGACTTTGGTATATCAGTCTACCTTTTAAATCCCCTCTTTGCCTTTTTCTTTCATTGATTTCTTCTGTCTCTTGAAAGAGAAAATACTCAGGGTTTGGAAAAAAATATGAAATTAAATATTTTAAAAATTAGACTTTATTTTTAAGTTTATAGAAAATCGAGCCGACAGTATGGAGAATCCCTATGTGCCCCCCAACAGTTTCCTCTACTGTTAATATCTTCCATTAGTGTGATACATTTGTTGCAAATTTAAAATTTAAGTTTAATGCAGTAAGTAGGTATTGAGTACTTTTAGGCATGAACAAGAAATGTTCCCTACCCCCATGAAGTTCACAATTCCACTGAGAAGGCAGGAAAAAAATGCTGTCATATGAGCCATTAATACAAAATAATGCACAATTTGGTTTTAAGGTGTGTCCTCCTGAGCAAAGAGGAAGGCTCTGGAAGTGAGGTAGGAATGGGATAAGTGCAGGTAGATTACAGGCAAAGTCCAAGCAGAAGGAAAGGCCTGTGCAAGGTTACAGAGGCAGGAATGTTAGAGGGAGGGGCTTAGCACATATCACATTGGGCAGAGGTGGGAAGTGACTTTGAAGAGCAAACAGGACAGGGTCCATTGTATTAGGGTGCTTTAGAGGGACAGAACTAATAGGATAGATGTATAAATGAAGAGGGAGTTTATTAGGAGAGTTGACTCACACGATCACAATAGACAGCCTGTAAGCTAAGGAGCAAGGAAGCCAGTCCAAGTCCCAAAACCTCAAAAGTAGGGAAGCCGCCCAAGTGCAGTGGTTCACACCTGTAATTCCAGCACTTCGGGAGGCAGAGGCAGGCGGATCACCTGAAGTAGGAGTTTGAGACCAGCATGGCCAACATGGTGAAACCCTGTCTCTACTAAAAATACAAAAATTAGCCAGGCGTGGTGGTGCATGCCTGTAATCCCAGCTACCTGGGAGGCTGAGGCAAGAGAATCACTTGAAACCAGGAGGCAGAGGTTGCAGTGAGCCGAGATTGTGCCACTGCACTCCAGCCTGGGCAACAGGCTTTTTTTTTTTCCCCCCCCCAAAACAAAAAAAAAAAGAAAAAAAAAAAAAGTAGGGAAGCCGATAGTACAATCTTCAGTCTGTAGCTGAAGGCCCAATAGCCCCTGGCAAATCACTGCTGTAAGTCCAACAATCCAAAAGCTGAAGAAAATGGAGTCTAATGTTCAAGGGCAGGAAGCATCCAGCATAGGGGGAATGATGGAGCCCAGAAAACTTAGCCAGTCTAGCCTTTCAATGTTCTTCTGCCTGCTTTTATCCTGGCCATGCTGGCAGGTGATTAGATGGTGCCCACCTGGATTGAGGGTGGGTCTGCCTCTCCCAGCCCACGGACTCAAATGTTAATCCTTTGACAACACCCTCACCGACACACCCAGGAGCAATACTTTGCATCCTTTAATCCAATCAAGTTGACACTCAGTATTAACCATCACAGTCCTTCATGCTGCTGTGAGGAATCAAAACTTGATAAAGGGCTTAGAGTTGAGTTTCTGAGCAGATCTTTAGGATCTGGTTTTCCCAGGACCATTGGTTTTTGGCTTCACATATATCTCAAGCCAGATACTCTGCACCGTTTGCTTCTTTGAATCAAAATTAAAGGCTCATGCCAAGGAGAAGCACTGCTTCTGGGGGAGAGCTACCAAATGGGACCACGGCTTTTTCATTTGCCACAAGGGTAGAATTTTGTGTGTGCACATAGGAGGAAAGCAAACAGCTTAGGAGGTCATAAATAGCAATATGGACCCTACAGGGAAATTGCCCTGAGTTCTCCAGGCCCCTTTCCTGGGTTGAACTCACTCTCCTTGAAGGCCTTTGTCATTTCTGGTGGTCAGGAAAACCCTGTGGGGTCTCTAAGAAGGGAGGAAAGCAATGAGGGAACTGAATGAACCCTATTGCTTTAATCTCTTCTCACTACTAGGGGAAGAGCAAGGAGGGCATAAAATACCCTATTTTTCTTTCTTGGTCTTAGTTAACTTATCTCAACAGGCGTCTCTAGATTTACATGGAATTGCTTATTCAGGTCATCAATGAGACTGCAGGGACACGAGAAAGTTTTGTTAGTGAAAGGACATATACACAACTTTGGTCACACCTGCCCCACGAACATCACCTGCCTTCACAATCTCTCTAGGTATCCGCCCCTTCTCTGTTGTTTCTTTGCCCCCACTCCTACTGTTGCCACCTGAGTTCAGGTTGCCCACTTGACTGCAAGAGCACAAGGGCAGCCACCAACTCCCTGGCTCTCGTCCCTCTCACAGTCACTGCGTTCAAAACATCAGAGGCAGCTTAGAGCCATTCTTTTCCCATACAAGGTGTCTCATCCCTTCTCTGAAGCACCGCATCACTTCCTTTTCTTTTCTTTTTTTTTTTTGAGACAGAGTCTCACTCTGTCACCCAGGCTGGACTGCAGTGGTGCCATCTCGGCTCACTGCAATCTCCGCCTCCCAGGTTCAAGTGATTCTCCTGCCTTAGCCTCCTGAGTAGCTGGGATTACCGGTGCCCACCACCACGCCCAGCTAATTTTTATATTTTTAGTAGAGACAGGGTTTCGCCATGTTGGCCAGGCTGGTCACGAACTCAAGTGATCTGCCCACCTCGGCCTCCCAAAGTGCTGGGATTACAGGTGTGAGCCACTGCGCCCAGTACACCACTTCCTTTCGGTTCCCACCCTGCCCCAGGACCTCAGCACCCTCCCTAAAACTCCCCCATATATTCTGCATCAAGTCTGGACTCTTGGGCCTGGATTTCAAGATGTTCCCTCTCAAAACCTACCAGCCTGTCCCGTGCCTTAGTCCACTGCTGCTCATTTTACCCCTGGGCCTGGCATTTTTTCCTCCTTCTCCCTCCAAAGAACAATTTAAGTTCTACCTTCTCTATACAGGGTTGCCACTTTGAGCATATAAAATATCAGATAGTTGGTTAAATTCTAATTTCAGATAGATAAAAAATGTTTAAAAATATGGGACATATACTAAAAATTACTTATTATTTATATAAAATTTAAACTTAATTAGACAACCTATATTTTACCTGTCAACCTTATGTCTACAAAGCCTGTTCTTAATGACCCAATTTTCTCTGATCTCCTTTTTTTAGTTTCTAAAACACCCAATTTAGTCTTTAATTCAGTATTTCATTCTATGCTATTTTATACTTATTAATTATATATATAATTTTAACACTTATTGAGTAATTATTCAACATCAGGGAGTGTGCTAAATTCTTTTCATACCATAACTTACATTCTTATAAGATTCGTGATAAAGTAGGTACTGCTACAATACCCATTTCATAAATGAGGGAGCTGAGTTTTTGAGAGGTTATTTTATTTATTTAAGGTTCCAAAGCTAATTAAGAACTTGAATGTTGATCTGTCTGTAGGGTGACCAACTTGTTTCAATTTTCGTGGCACTGCTCTGTTTTTTTTTTGTTTTTGTTCCTGGTTTTGTTTATTTTTTGAGATGGAGTTTTGCTCCTGTCACCCAGGCTGGAGTGCAATGGCATGATCTCAGCTCATTGCAGCCTCCGCCTCCTGGGTTCAAGCTATTCTCCTGCGTCAGACTCCAGAGTAGCTGAGATTACAGGTGCCCGCCACCATGCCCAGTTAATTTTTTTTTTATTTTTAGTAGACACAGGGTTTCACTATGTTGGCCAGGCTGGTCTCAAACTCCTGATCCACCTGCCTCGGCCTCCCAAAGTGCTGGGATTACAGGTGTGAGCCACCACACCCCGCCAGCACTGCTCTGTTTTTAAACTGAGGCCCGCATCCCAGGAACTCCCTCAGTCCTGGGCAAGCCCTAAACATCTGACTTCAACATTGAGATTCTATCTTACTTCTCATTTTTCATGGGTTTTAATTGTGTTCTCTCAGCTAGACTATGGACTCCCTAAGGAAAGGGACACGTCTTATGGTATTTACTCATACTAAGAATTACTTAGTAAGTGCTTGACAAGTCAGGAGTAGGAAGATCCTTCACAGACCAAATCTCTTTTCTAGGGTCTCTTTGTTTTTGTTTGTTTGTTTTGAGACAGGGTCTCTGTCACCCAGGCTGGAGTGCAGTGATGAGATCTTGTCTTACAGCAACCTCCACCTCCTGGGCTCAAGTGATCCTCCAGCCTCAACCTCCTGAGTAGCTGGGACTACAGACACATGCCACCACGCCCAGCTAATTTTATTTTATTTTTTGTATTTTCTATAGCGACAGGGTTTTGCTATGTGGCCCAGGCTGGTCTCGAACTCCTGTGCTTAAGTGATCCACCTGCCTCGGCCTCCCAAAGTGCTGGGATTACAGGCGTGAGCCACCACGCCCAGCCTCTGGGGTCTCTTTGGATTGTAGGAGCTGAGGACTGTGTGGAGCTCATGCTTGGGAGTGGCCAGTCTCAGATTCAGCTGAGACCTGAGTATGACGAAGCCTTTGCAATAGAGGCACACATGTTTTCATGATGCCACTGGATTCTGCTTGCAAAGATGCCAGGCGATTGCTATCAGCAACAATGCCTCTAAATTGCTGAAAATGCAGCTCCCTGGTAGGTAGGTCACTTGACAAGCTGAGCCTTGAGAGGCATCCTGCTGTGAAGTCTGAGTTAGGGTATGGGTGAGGCTGGAGAAACAGAAGTCAGGGTGCTAGGACGAGCGGGGTGCAAGTGGGCGGCAAGCCAGTCAGCACCTTGCTGGATGGGACAGCACCGTAGGAAGCTGTGTGGCTGTTGTTTTTTTGCTGGGACTCTGCTTTTGTCCAATGGGCACATATCCAAAAGATTATATATTATTACATTATTACATAATAACCAAGTGGTTAAAATGATGATTTGTGGGTGTTATTGCTAGGCTGCAATGTGTTTAATGAGGTGTGATAGGAAAGGCAGAAAAGACAGATTTCCATCCCTCAAGGGTGTGTGGCTAACTTGTCTCAACTTCATTTTAAATGCCGGTTGGTGTTGAGCACACATTAAATATAAGAACTAAGCTGTATGTGGAGAAGTCATCTGTAAACAATCATTTGCTATTTTAAAGAAATCTAAGTTGAATTGGTAAAAGAATCTCAAGGTAACTGTCTTTTCTGTTGCTCCATCTTACTTCAAAGTGCTTGAAGTTTTTTATATGCCTTTAATGTTCAGGTTTTTTCTTTAAGAGAATGTAAGAGACATGGGGCACAAAGGTTAGGCAGGAGTTTCCATTTTGAACCGTGCTGACAGACTCCTCAGTCTTTCTCTCTTTAGAAACCCATGCTGGGTTTTCCCTGTCTCCAGAGGGCAGCCTCTCCATCTCAGTGTAACATTCAAGGCCATTCCTGGCCTAGTCTGGCTCCAGCCTGACTTTGCAGCTCATCTCCTACCAGCGTCTTACCATGGGTCTGCTCCAGCTAGACTGCTAGGGACTAAATGTTTGTGTACCCCCAAATCATGTTGAAACCTAGTCCCCATTGTGAGGGGTTTTTGGAGGTGAGGCCTTTGGAATTAACTGTTTTTATAAAAGAGACCTCAGAGAGCTCCTTTTTCCTTCCCCCATGTGAGGCTACACTGAAAAATGGCTGTCTGTGAACCAGGCAGAGGGCCCCTGCCAGCCACTGCATCTGCCAGTGCCTTGATCTTGGGCTTCCTAGAGTCTAGAACCATGATAAATAAATCTCTGTTGTTTATAAGCCACTTTGTCTATGGCATTCCATGACAGCAGCCTGAAAGGACTGACACAGGCTCTTCGATTACCATCATCTAAATACACACTGAACTTTTCTGCCTCTTAAGACTTTTCTCTTGCAAGGTATCATGGTTTAGCATTTAATCTTTTTTTTTTTTTTGAGACAGCATTTAATCTTTGGATCTAGACTGCATAGGCTGAAATCTTGGTTCTTCTATTTACTATGTGATCTTGGATAAGTTACTTAACTGCTCTATGACCTGATTTCTCCAACTGGAAAAAAATTAAAATGATACTTATCTTATAGAAGTCAAATAATGGAAGTACTTAGAACAATGCACATCGCATAGTTTAAGTACTCAGTAAATGCTAGCTCCTTATTTCCATAACTAGATCTCATTACCCTTCTCACGTAGCTCAAAATATGTCTTTCCCTTGAAGACTTTCCTGACCACCCCATCCTGCAATGTACTTCCATCTTGAGAAATCCCGAGTTCTGGCACTGTTCTTTGGTGGGTGGGTGGTTTCTGTTCTCATGCTTGTGTCTTATGATCACAGCTATTCATTGAGCACTCACTTTGAGTCAGGCTTGTATGACACTTGGAGGCACGTATTCTTTATCTCACTTTATAGAGGAACCAACTGAGGCTCAGGGAGGTTAAGTGACTTGCTAGGGTTGCAGAGAGAGGTGATTCTGGGGTTCCAATTCAGGTTCCCCACACTTGCAACCATGACACTCTCTATTTTACTAGGAAACAAGGAGTGAATCTTGCACTTGATTCCAGCTTCCATACTGCTTTTCAAGTAGAAGGCACTCAACATATTGCTGATGATTTGATGGGTCAGTATGCAAACTGTTGTCCTTGTAAGTGCCACCCAGTGCCTTCTGGTTGTGATGATCTTGATGATAAAGATATTGCATGATATATTTTGATGGGCCTTAAAAAATTAGACAATAGCTTATTCTTCTTGTGTTGAACTCTACGTGAATTAAAAAACAATTCTCACTTATTTTTTACCTTAACTATCCCCTGCTGTTTCAAATATGGTTAGGTGGGGAATGTCAGGAACAATCTTATTATGAATGCTGCTTTTGTCACAAAGGAGACTTTCTCATGACTCAGTACCAGCTAATTAGTCTGTCAGTGGCTTTCTTTGGCGAGGAGAGTCATTTGATCCATTGTTGACAAGGTGCAAGCTGCTTTCTACCTACTCTGTGGCAGCTCCAATGGGTCTGACATTTTCTCAACCCCTAATCAAGATGTTATTAAGCTTCTGATGGTTTACAGCCAACTGGGATGAGAGTGGATTGGTTTTGTAAACAACTGCCAGAAAGACAACTCAGTGGTACTTTAGCAATATGTAAACGCCTCAGATTTTCCTGTGTGTGTGTGTGCATGTGATACAAAGGCAGCTTCTGTGATTTCTAAATTCCTGGAACATGATAGTTTTTTTTTTTTTTTTTTTTTTTTTTTTTTTGAGATGGAGTCTCACTCTGTCGCCCAGGCTGGAGTGCAGTGGTGCGATATTGGCTCACTGCAAGCTCCGCCTCCCGGGTTCATGCCATTCTCCTGCCTCAGCCTCCCAAGTAGCTGGGACTACAGGTGCCTGCTACCATGCCCGGCTAATTTTTTTGTATTTTTTTAGTAGAGACAGGGTTTCACCATGTTGGTCAGGCTGGTCTGAAGCTCCTGACGTTGTGATCCACCTGCCTCAACCTCCCAAAGTTCTGGGATTATAGGCATGAGCCACCACGCCTGGCTGAGACTGAAATTGTTTTTTAGAGATGGGGTCTCACTATGCTGCCCAGGCTGGAGTGCAGTGGCTATTCACAGGCACAGTCACAGCTCACTGCATCCTCTATCTCCTGGGCTCAAGCGAGCCTCCTGCCTCAGCCTCCCAAGTAGCTGAGACTACAAGCACATGCTGCTGCACCTGACTCTGAGACTGAAATCTTCAAAAACCCTGGCCCATTTAATCAACACACATTTATTGAATTAGTACTATGTGCCAGATACTATTCTAGGTACTTAGGATATAGCAGTGTTAGAAATAGACTACAATTCCTGCCCTCTTGGAGTTTCTTTTTTTTTTTTAAAGCTTTCTATTATGGAAAACATTTCAAATTCCTATAAAAGAAGAAAGAATAATATACAGTAGTTCCCCACCTCTTTATCCACAGGGGATATGTTCTAAGATTCCCAGTGGATGCCTGAATCAAATCCTATATGTACTATGTATTTTCCTAAACTTGCATACCTATGATAAAGTTTAATTTGTAAATTAGGCACAGTAAGAGATTAATAATAACAACTAATGATGAAATATAACAATTATACCAGCATCACTACTTTTGTGCTTTGTGGCCATCATTAAGCGAAACAGGGGTTACTTGAACACAAGCACTGGATGGCCTGACAGTCGATCTGATCACCGGGCTGGCTACTAAGTGACTAATGGATAAGGAGCATGTACAGTGTGGAGGCCCTGGACAAAGGGATGATTCAGATCCCAGGCGGGACGGGGCAGGATGGCGTGAGATTTCATCATGCTACTCAGAATGGTGTGCAATTTAAAACTTATGAATTGTTTACTTCTGGAATTTTCCACTTAATATTTTCAGACTGTGGTGGATGGCAGCTAACTAAAACCACAGAAAGTGAAACTGCCGATAAGAGAAGACTACCGTACCCACCATTCAGCTTTAATAATTATCAATATTTTATTCTTTTTACATCTATCCCTCCACCACACACTTATTTTTAAGGGAGCACATTAAAGCAAATCCCAGACCTCAAACATTTTTCATACGTACTTCAGTATGGATGTCTAACAGACAAGAATTTTTAATAGAAACATGACCATCATGTCATGATCATCATACCTCCCAAAATTAACACTATTGAAAATATAATTTAATATCCAGTCTAGGCTAAATTTCCCCCATTTGTCTAAGGAATATTTTCACATTTGTTTGTCTGAATCCAGATCCAAATAAAGTCTGGACATTGCAGGCTGTGGATGGAGCTCTTATGTCTCTCCTGGTCTATAACCATTCCCCTCAGCCATTTTTTGGTTGTCAGAATTGGGTTATTTGTTCTGTAGAAATTCCCACATTTTGGCGTTGGATGATTGCATCCTCATGGTGTTTTTTAAAAAATGATTTTTATTATGCCTTACATTTTCTATAAAATAATAGTTATTTCTAGAGGCTTGGTCAGAGTCCGTTTCAGTGGCAAGTGCTGGGGAGATTGTTGGACTGACATCCTCATGGAAACTGGCTTGTGTTATTTTTGTGTGCCAAAGATGCTTCTGGAGGCGTCTTATTGGCCAAAAATTTGGGGGGTGGCTGGTACCCGAAACTTAGCTTTTGTGCCACAGTGGCAATTTTCATCCTAATGCCATGTGACATTCCTTTTGTTCCGTCTTCCTTTATGTAGGCTTTAAGAAGACTTCAATTTTTTTTAAAAAATAAAAATACATCATAATTGCATATATTCATGAGGTACACAGTGATGTTGCAACACATATAATGTATAGTGATCAGATCACAGTCATTAGCACATCCATCATCTCAAACATTTGTTTCTTTGTGTTGAGAACATTCAATATCCTCCTTGTAGCTATTTGAAACCATATAATATATTATTGTTAACTATAGTTATCCTACAGAGTTATAGAGCACTAGAACATATGCCTCCAATCTAGCTGTAATTATAAAGAAGACTTTGCATCATGTGGTGTCTGAGAGTGGCAGCAACTGGAGGGTCTGGGGAGCAGTGCCCCATGTAGGAACATGCAAATTCCTTTGTTAGTGTCTTCTCAGGAACTAGGGCTAAGAAAAGGGAAAATAAATTTATAGAATAGGGCCGGCATGACAGCTCATGCCTGTAATCCAGCAGTTTGGGAGGCTGAGGTGGGTGGATCAGTTGAGGTCAATAGTTCAAGACCAGCCTGGCCGTCATAGCGAAACCCCGTCTCTACTAAAAATACAAAAATTAGCCAGCCATGGTGGTGTGCATCAGTAATCCCAGCTACTCGGTAGGCTGAGGCAGGAGAATCGCTTGAACCGAGGAGGTGGAGGTTGCAGTGAGCTGAGATTGCGCCACTGCATTCCAGCCTGGGTGACAGAACAAGATTCTGTCTCAAAAAAATAAAAAAAGAATAAACATAGAATAGCATGAAACTAAACTAGATCAACTGAATGGAAATATCTGAGGAGGTCTTTAAGGGTTTATTTTGCAAAAGATATCCAGGTGATTCTAATGCACAACCAGGAATGAGAAGCCCCATTCAGATAATAAGTCTCGTGCGGCTCAATGGAGTCCTCTTCAGTTTGTGGTCTACTTCAGCAGGCAGTCCCCACCTGCAACCTTGACAAAGGAGATGGATTAGAGGAGGGCAAGCCCAGGTAGAAGCAGTAGGAGGTTCCTGGGGTCTCCAGTGGCTACTGATTTGTAAGGATTTCTATGGTATGTGAATTTACTTAATAAATGATATCATAAACTTTTTGAAGAATGAAGACAGGGAGTTTGGTTTGGAGAATCCAAAAATATGATAGGAAGAAAGGATGACTCCAGTGAGCAAAAAGAAGAATAGAGTTGCCATTTACTGACATAGGGAAGGTTATGGGGAAGGGTTCCATTTTGAACATGTTCTATTTGTGATATGTAATGTATGCTGTAGAATGGATGTTGAGTAGGCAGTTGGATATACATCTGAGGTTCAGGGCTGGAGATAGAAATTTGGAAATCAGGAAAACAGAGATGATATTTGTTTATTTATTATTATTATTTGAGATGGAGTCTCACTCTGTCCCCTAGGCTGGAGTGCAGTGGCATGCTCTCAGCTCACTGCAACCTCCACCTCCCAGGTTCCAGCAATTCTCCTGCCTCAGCCTCCCAAGAAGCTGAGATCACAGGTGCACGCCACCATGCCTGGCTAATTTTTGTATTTTTAGCAGAGACCAGGTTTTACCATGTTGGCCAGGTTGGTCTTGAACCCCTGGCCTCAAGTGATCCTTCCTCGGCCACTGAAAGTGCTGGGATTACAGGTGTGAGCCACCACGCCTGGTCAATATTTAAAGCCATAGACTGAATAAGGTCACCTAGTGAATGAGAAACTGACTTCCTGGAAACTGCATGAACAAGGTGCTTATAGAACCACTGTAAGGGTTTCTCTGAGGCATATCCAGGAGGGTGACTGCTGAGTCATAAAGCATACTGCTAATTTTTTTCACTAAGCACTGCCAGGTTGATCTGCAGAATATATTTACCAGTTTAAATTTCCATCAGCAGTGCATCTTTCCCCAGATCTTTGCCAATATTTGGGATTATCTTTCTGATTTCTGCCATGCTGGTGGGTGAAGCAGTGGTGTGTTGAAAACAGTTCATGAGAGCTGATAAAGCACATTTCTTCCCAACTTCTTGTTCAGTGACCTCAAGCTACACTGGTAGCTGGAAACTGGCAGTGCTCAGAGTATTTGCACCATGGAAATTGGCAAACACTGTACGTTAGGACTTTTCCTTCCCTGGGGAGCGGGTTTTAAAACATAGACCAGCATATTGGTGGCTATGGGGTCACACTCTTTATATTCCCACTCTGATTACAAGTGGGGTTGAGCATCTCTTTAATGCTTGCTTGCCATTCTGGCTTTTCCTTCTGTGAATTGTCTATTCTTATACTTTTCTCATTTTTATATTGGCCTTTAAAATATTTTATATTGACTTCCTTTTGATTTGTGAAAAGTTCCTCATGCATTTCAGATATTAATCCCTAGTTGCTTTTGAACATAGCACATGTTTTCTTCCAATTTGTCAGCCATCTGTTAATTTTTTCTATGGTATTCTTAACTGAACAGAACCCTTAATTGTGATGCAGTCAAGTCATACAATTTTTTTTTGCTTCAAGGATTGTGCTTTTGCAAACCTGTTTTATGAAGTAAATTCCTAACCCACATTATAGAGATAGTCTCCTGCATTTTCTTTTGTATCATATGTAGGTCTGCCATTTATCTGGAGTTCACCTTTGTATATGGCAGAACATGGGGCTCTCAACTTTATTTTTCCTTGATAAATTAAAGCCAGTTTCCCGAATGCCGTCTTCTAAATAATTTATATTTTTCTCATTGATCTGTGGTACCACCTTTGTGTAAATGGAGGTAGCATTTATACGTGGGTCTGCTCCTGAGTTCTTCATTCTGTTTCCTATTTGCTCTATGTGTTCCTATACCAGTACCATAATATTTTTATTACTATGTGGCAATGACATAATATCTGGCATGGCAGGTCTGCTCTGGTTTTTATAATTGACTTAACTGTTTAAAATTTATTTCTCCTTATATATTTTGTAAGTTTGTTGAGTTCCCTAAAAATTTAGTTTCTGCTGGAATTTTGGTTGCCATAACATTTACTTTGGAGACTAAATGGATACTTTTACAATGTAAAGTCATCCTATCCATGCTGTATCTCTCCACTTATTCAATATTTTATGTCCTTAAATAGAGTTTTAAAATTTTCTCCTTAAAGTTTTTGCAAGTTGTTGGGTTAATTCCTGGATATTATGCTTTAGAGTTTGTTAAACTTTATTGTTATTGTGAATGGTTTCTTATTGTCTGTTACATTTCCCAGTTGCTTACTGCTGATGTAGACAAAACTATTGATTTTTAGAAACTGATCTTGTACTTGGCAACCTTGCTGAGCTAACATTACTTCTAATACTTTGTTGATTCTGTTGGGCTTTTTATGCTGATGATCACACCTGTAAACATCACAGACAGGAAGATATTAGGGGCTCTGCCCAGTGCTCTGATCTTTTGCATTTAAGCACTTCTGCTAGTTGAACTCCAATCTGGTGCCCCAATTCTGACAGTTGGGTGTCTCTCATGGTCCTAAGGGCCTAGGCCCCCTATACACTCACAAATTAGAAACTGATGATATTCCATCCCATATCCAGTCCATGTAAAAGCAGTGACCTTGTCTTCTTTTGCTATTTCCTCTAACCCTTTTATCATGGTCGGGGTCCTGAGAGCTGCTGACAGATCTTCCTGCTGCCGAGTGTCTGAATTCCTGAATGCTGCTCTATGCAGCCATTCTGGGTCTTTAATGCCCCCAAAGACAGCCTGTGTAGGTTAGCAAAGTAGTGAATCAACATAGGCCTTCAGATCAGACAGACTTAGGTTTGAATCTTATTTCTGCCCCTGGCTACATGGAGCAAGTCACGCAGCCTCCCAGAGTCTGCTTCTTCATTTGTAAAGTGAAGACAAGATTTCCATAGGTCAAGTGCCTTACAGTGGTCAGTGAGTAATGCCCTTTCTCCACACTGTGATGTTGACCAGTAAGTTGATCACCTCCTGACGCTGTGGATTATTGCTATACTTTTCAGGAACTTTGTGTCTCCAGATAGAATTGAATCTCAGCAGCTACAGTTGGTCCACATCCCCATGTGCCTTCCCACCCCAATGAATAGTTCAAGTTCCAAGTTCTGGCCACATATCATTGTCCAGTCTCACTCTGGTTAACTGGGCAATACCTGGTTCTAAAGCTTGTATGTCACGAGGTATTCTAGGAAGCATGACTCCAACGAGCACTTGCATTCTTGATGATGGTATAAAGAAGTAACGTCAGATTTTTGAACAAAGGCAACTAAGTGAGTGGGAGACTCTGGTGGCTTGGTATCCTGGGAATTTGCCTATGTATCATACAGTGTTTGGGTGTAGCAGATAAAGCCAGTGGCCTGGCTGGTTCTAACAGAGATCTTTATTATAACTAAGAACAACTGAGCTAGCCATGCCTTGTCACCTACTAATAGTGGTATTTCAGATGGATAATTTAAATCAGCAATAAAAGTGAACTGTATACGTTTGGAAACTTCACCAATAGCTACTCTGTTACACACAGATCTTTATGACTTTCTGTGGTTCAATGACAATTGGCCTCATTTATAGGTGCTTGAAGCCAACCAAGGGCAGATTGCCTTCCTTCTTTTAACCAGCTAAAGAGATGGGTGGGTCAGACAAGAAGAGGGTATGATGAAAGCAGGGAAAGGGAGGTGGACTCTTCAGAGGGAGGAGGAAGTATCCGTGTCACATTATCTCTGAGAGCACTCGCAGATGCTGAGCCTGCAGAGACAGAGAAACTGGCAGCTGACCAGGGTCAGGGATGGTCATGTATTCAAATATTGTGGGTTTTAGTCAAGTGTGCTCCACCCGATTCAACAATGTGATGTGACTGCTCCTAGCAACTATTTTGATATGGTGAATGTTGTTAAGCATAGGACCTAAGAAGAGGTGGCAGTCTCTTTCCTCTCCGCACTTGGCAGGCCACCCACTCATTCCTGATAATCACATTTAAGAGAGCTCTGGACAAGCTGGAATGCATCCAAGAGAATCCCTCAACATGCTGGTGAGTGGGATTGTGACCAGGTCATATCAGGAGTAGCCTAAGGGACAGGTAATGTGTGTCTTGGATGAATTGGAGTCAGACTTAAGAGTCCCCAGGGCAGAAACAAAATCCAGTGAGGGAGAGATGCAGGGAGCTGGATTTTAGCTCCTAAGGTAGAAAATTTCCAAAAGGCTGATCAAAGATTAAATGGCTGCCTTAAAAGGTAATGAGTTCCTTGTTAGTGGAGGTGTTCAACCACTGCTTGGTGGGAAGACACTGTAAGGAGGATTCAGGCAAGTGGGAAGGGGGCTTTTTCCAGTCCCTGAAATCAATGATTCTAACAGGAAAAGATGCTCCGGGGTGCGGTGAGCGCTTACCTCTGCTCTTGCAGAGACACTGACAGACGTTCATTCAACATCTGTTCCTGCCAGGCACTGTGCGCGCTGAACACAGAAGTACAGCCTCTATGAAGCAGCCGCTGTAGGCCTCAGAGACAGCTGATAGATGTAACACTGTTGTCTCCATGTTTCAAACTTCGGTCATGGTCTTACTAGGTCTCCTCATTAAGGGGACTCACTATGTGTCCAGTAACGCTTTCTTGTTACCAGATGACAGAGAGTCAGGCTGTCAGAGTTCACGACTTTAGGTGCACAGTTTCACCCTGTCTGGTCCTTGGGAGACGGAGAAGGGGTCAGGAGAAAACGTGGGTGAAGAGGCAGCAAAGCCGCAGGAGATATGAACTAATTGCTCAACGTGGGTGTAGCACGGATTAGGCCTTTTACAGCAAGCGCTGCCAGCAGGGAACTGGTGGATGTACTCTTGACCACGCTCGGCTGGACTCTGGGGAGCCCAAGACGGGTAAGACTAGGTCCCCGGCCCCAGCAGCTGGTGGGGGCGCCGCAGGTTAGAGACGTGAGGCCGCGAGGCTGAGGGCTGTGAAGGCGGTGGGCACGCACGGCGTGCCGGGGCCGCCTGGCTTCGCGGCGGGGGAGGTAACACTGCGACACCCCGCAGACGCTGTCAGCCGGGGTCGCGGCCCCGCGTGCGCCCGATCATCTGACTGCTGGGGAGTGCGGGGGCGCGGGAGCCAGGCGAGCCAGCGCAGGCGCGCGCTGCCTCCTCCGTCCCCACCGAGTCCCCAGCGCGTGCGCGGGGCCGTGGCCGAGGCCTGCGCGCCGCCCGGCCGCCTGCACTGCGCGCGCGCCCACCCCGCGTGGGAGGCAGCGGGAGGGGCCCGGAGAGGTGTGGAGCGGCGCGGCGGGAGGCTCCGTGGGCGGCCACGGGAGACAGCGCCGGCGGGAGCGCGCCTCTCGGCCTTTCCTCCGCGCCCCCGCGTCCCCAGCCGGCCGCTCCGAGAGGACCCGGAGGAGGCAGGTGGGCCGGGGGCGCGCGGGGCCCCCCCGGGCCGCGGGCTGGCCGGCGGCGGGGTTGGGGCCGGGGTGGGCGGCCCTGGGGGCCCGCGGGGAGGTCAGTGGCCCCGGGAGGGTCGCGCAGAGGCGCTGGGGGCTGTGGAAGCCCCGCGGCCGCCTCCCGTGGGCACCGGTGTCGCTGGCCGCGGGGAGGCCTTCTCGGGGCGGAGCGGCCCACCCGGCGGGGATGGGGACTCCTCGTGGCGGCCGCTGACGGACGGCCCAACTTTAGGTTGAGGGGCGCGGGGTGTGCGGGACCCGGCGGCGGAGCTGGGCTCTGGGCCACGACCGCCAGCCGCGGCTGCCCCGAGAGTCCCCGCACGCGCAGTGGCTTTCCAACGCGGCCTCTTCCCATTTCTCACTTGACTCCCCTTGCGCATTAAATTGTCGAGAAACCTTTGGCCAGTGGGTCTTCAAAGCTAAACCAAATGGCTGTCCTTGCAGTCCTTGGCTACCTGAGATCCCTTAATTCTGAACCATCCGCACCTGGGAGGGGAAGTTGAAAGGAGCGCTGGAGCTGAGCCCGCATCCTTAAGGATCCCATTCACTGCTTATGATGGTAGAGCTTTGAATTAGATGTCAGGCTGTTCACGTCATCCAGACTCTGGTTTTCAGCTCTGTGCTGAGACAGTGTTTTGATACGTATCAGAGGATGATGTTCCTATGGGACAATAACTTGCTGTATGTTCTGAGATACTAGACTGCGTTCATATTGTAGCACCATCATCGTATAAAACGGGCGCCTTTGAAAGGTTTCAGTAAACACCTTCCTCAGGAACATCCGCCAGCACTTAAATTGTACTTCACTTTCACTTTGACGTTTGTTGTTTGTGAATCTTGTGCACAATTTAAAGTGAGTCGTCTAAACAGCACAGGATCACGTGGTGCGGGGCATTGAGCAACTGGGGAGGAAAGCAGAGACTTGAACCTGCTGGAGTCTAGTTGGTCTGCGTTTTTATGTTGGAGAACCATCCTGGTTCCAGCTTATTTTGCTTTCGTAAATATGATGCATTTTTTAAATGCTTTCATTTGATACGGTCTATCTGGACTGTAAGATTGAGTCTAGCCATGCATGGAATGTGTTTACTTCTGTTTTGTAGAAGATTTAGCCCATGGTATTCTATTTGTAGGATTCATTTCAGACATTTTGTGTTTACCACATACAGTCCCACCAGCAAGGGCTTTTAAAAAAGTGACCTATGTTGTCTCTCATAGCTTATGACAACTCCAATTTTGACACGTGTTTGAAACTAGTGATCTTTAGATTATATAAAATCAACTTCACTCTTTCTCCCTGTTCAAACCTCAAACTCTGGTTACTTTTAGGCTTACTGCTCCCTTGTTAATTATTTATAATGAACTATGGAGCTATAGGCTTGCTTTAGTGTGTTAACCTTTATTTGTGTCTTGTTTCAGGCATTTGTATATTGTTTTCTCATCTGGAGAGTGAGCTGCACTGTTTTCCTTCAGTGCTGTTTAGAAGAGCTTTCGGAGACCAGAAACATGTTCTTTTTGCATTACCCAATATGGTAGCACTAGCCACATATAGCTTTTGACCACTTGAATGGGGCTAGAGCAGTGGAAGCACTGAAATTTTAATATTTTTTTTCTTTTCCTTTTCTCTCTCTCTTTTTTTTGTTTTTGTTTTTTTTTTTTGAGACGGAGTCTCGCTCTGCTCTGTCACCCAGGCTGCAGTGCAGTGGCCTGATCTCTCCTCACTGCAATCTCTGCCTCCCAGGTTCAAGCGATTGTTCTGCCTGAGCCTCTCGAGCAGCTGGGATTACAGGCGCCTGCTACCACACCCTGTTAATTTTTGCTGTGGGGTTTCACCATATTGGCCAGGGTGGTCTCGAACTCCTGACCTGAAGTGATCTGCCCATCTCGGCCTCCCGAAGTGTTGGGATTACAGGCATGAGCCACTGCACCTGGCCAATTTTTAAATTAATTTAAATAGTCACATGTGGCTAGTAGTTAGCTGGTCAGATGCCACAGCTTTAACTTATTAGTCTCCAGGAAGCCTTCGTTGACCCTCTTGAATCTGTGCTTTCATAGGACTCAGCTGTCCTTGGTCATAGCACTTACTACTTTCAACTTTCTGGTAGGAATCAACACTAGGCTGTAATTTATATGAGGGCAAGGACAGATCTGGTTTCTTTACCTTTGCATAGCTTAGAACTTAGTAAGAAAAACTGAATAAATATTTGTTAAATGCATAAATAGCTTTTTCAGGGCAGGTATTTCAATTTTTAATTCTCTCTAAGGCCAACTAAGTGTTCAGTACTGTAAATACCTGTTTAGTAGATTGTACAGATGTTATGTAGGTAGCAAATAAAAGGATCATTGGAGTTATGCTTTAAATACTTACGTGGTGAGATTGGAATCTCAGGAGAATGATGACTCATAACAAAGTATTACAGGAAATTGAATGAAAGGGCCTCATGATTCCAGCTAATGTAGACACAGCTTTGGTCTCCTATTAGTTGAATAACTCAAGGACACTCTTGAACCATATCTCAAATCTGAAGTCTCCTGGCTTCAGTAAGGCCCTTTTATGGGGTCCAGACAGTCCTGAACCAGCCTGAAGATGCTAGTGGACATCCCCATTTATTACTGCTCTGTGTTAAAGCATGGACCAAGGAGTCTTGGAAAAAAAATCACAAGGTATTTGAGCCACGTTATGTAAGATGCTTTTGCTAACAGCTAACTTGGAGTGATGAGTAGGGTGAAATTCCTATAGAAATCAGAGTTTGGGGAATTTGATTCTAGCTATTGTTAGTATCAGAGGCACCTGTTCTGTAGACAGTTGATTAGTGCCAATTTTTTTTTTTTTTTTTTGAGATGGAGTTTCGCTCTTCTTGCCCAGGCTGGACTGCAGTGGCGGGATCTCGGCTTACCGCAATCTCTGCCTCCCAGGTTCAAGCGATTCTTCTGCCTCAGCCTCCTGAGTAGCTGGGATTACAGGTGCCCTCCACCATGCCCAGCGAATTTTTTGTATTTTTAGTAGAGATGGGGTTTTGCCATGTTGGTCAGGCTGGTCTCGAATGCCTGACCTTGGGTGATCCACCTGCCATGGCCTCCGAAAGTGCTGGGATTACAGGTGTGAGCCACCATGCCTGGCAGGGCCAATATATATATATATATTTTTAACCTGAGGCTTACTTTATAATCAGTTATCACCAGTTAACCATAGTTGGATTTGGAATGAAAGTGTGTACTCAGTTCAGATCAGTATACTTAGACATTTGACCAAGAGTCCAGGTGTTGTAGGTCTTCAGATCCAGGAATTGCTTTTAGGAAATGAATCTGAGACTATAAGGAAGTTTATAGGGGTACATAGTTTCCTTTGGGAGGACAAAAGGTAGAATGTTAAGTTTTTCACGAAAATAAGGAAATGTAACTAGAGAAAAACGCAACAAAGACAAAATACAAAGAATGTTCACTGCATTGGTCAGGTAATATTGTAGCTTCTTCTGGACTTGAAGTATCTAATATGTAAAAGAATGAAGCTGGTTACATCTGATTGCATGAATCCTCTTTCCACTTTGAATCTAAGCTTTGAATATTAGTTAAATATGTGTAACACACTATTCTAGCTCCTGTGGTGACTGCTAGTTGTGTACGATAGAGTTCGTATCTTTGAGGATCTCAACAGTTTACAAGGAAATGAAAGGTGCTCTGGGGATCACTTAAAATTTTTTTTTTTGAATGGGAGACTCCACCCTTTGAAAGGGAAGTCATGTGGTGACTCCTCTTAACCGACTCAGACAGATATCCACTGAATCTTTTTGCTGAAGAATTAAGAGTATAAAAACATGTCTGAGTCCCAAACCGTGATTATAGTCAGATTAATTTTCCTAAAACAGCTTTAATCATGTTACTCTCTTTAAAAAAATCAGTAGTTTCCCAGTGCTCATGAAAGTAAGTGGTTTGGTCTTTGATGAGGTATTTGCTCCTCAGTACAGCCCTAAAAAGCCCTTACAGCCTCACCTCTGACTGTTTTCCTAGTCATATCCCAAGTTCCAGCCTACTGTTCTTTTAATGGGATCCCCTTTTATATTGATACCTATTCATCATTCAAGACTCATCACAGATGATACCTTCTTCACCATTTATGATTCTTAGAAGCTCCAACTGCAAATGTTCCTGGTACTTATGTGATGGAGCAGATCCCATTCTGCCTCATAATCTATAGTTATTAGTGGTATTTTATTCACCTTAATAGATTGTAAACTACCTAAGAAGCATGGACCATCTGTTAACTCATTTTTGTATTTGCTGAAACATCTAGAATAGTGTCTTGTATATAGTGGTTCCTTAATAAATACTCATTACTGTTTGGAATTGATAGTATTTGAGGAAGATCACCGCTGCTCTATAACACTAATTCCATGAACTTGTCATTTTCCTATTTATGTGGCAAGGTTAATGTCAAAATGCTTCTAAGTATTTGGTGGTAAGTAATTTTAGCATCCAAGAAAATGTGAATACCTTAAAATAGTAACAACTGGATTAGGTTACCTAATATATAACATCTATATCCATATAAGCATACGATTTTTGAGGAAAAAGAAAGCCTCCTACTTTTTACCAGTTCCTGCCAGTATTAAGAAAACATGAATCAAGTTAGGAAGACAACAGTGAGCTCAATGAAATGACTGTTTTATTGTAGTGGGGAACTGATGGTAAGGATAATTGAGTTAGATATAGGGTTGGTTAAGTAGAACAGAGCACACATTAAGTAGTAGCTAGTATGGTGTTGTCTACTACCAGATCAAGCCATTGATTACCTATTTTTATTCTGTGCTTTCTACTGAAATAATCTAAACTCATTTTTCATTTAGTTTTATAATGTTTTGCTTACATTTTAAAAACAGGAATTCATGATACTTCAGATAGTAAAGATCGGATACAAAAGAAACTGGAAGGCTTTTAGCTTCATAAGTTTGGTTTTACTAGCAGTTTCTCTGCTTTCTACATCATTTCTGAGATGTAGGCTAGGGTGTAGTACAAAGTCTAATTTAGAGCAAATTTATTCTAAGCACTCATGTTTTCTGGGAAAAAGAGGTAATATAAGCCATGTGCTTTAAAAGGCATGGCTTCCATCTTTGGCCAGGATAGAACTCACATACCTCGGACCTTGTTAAGTTGAACAATCTTAGTAAACTCTTAGATTTGTAAGAGGGATATGATTAATTTTCAGTAAAGTTTTCTGGGATAGAAAATAATGGAAACATTTTAAGGTAGATTATCTTCATGTGATGAGCACATGGCATGAGCTATTGGATGACAAATGATGTAACTTGTGCCAGTGTTATGGGAAGTTAAAGATCCATCTACAAGGGTTAATACGCCCTTGTTTGTTACATGAGTAGGAGGATTTCACCCATTTAGATTAGCTCAGCATTTAAAGTGTTTTCACCTATTTTATATTCCTTTTGAGCTTTGTCTAGAGAGATTACATGTGCTACCGACTGGTATAAGAGGTGGTGTGAAGCAATGTATGCCTTTTAACAACAGTTTTGCCAAAAGGAATTTTTTCCCTTTCATAAAAGATCCTTACTGAAAATGTCAGCAGATTTGACGTCAAATAACTTTTAGGCAGTTATTGAAGGCAGTCATTCTAAGTTGCATACAAATAAAGTAGAAACACTTTTTTTTTCTTTCTTATTATAGGTGGCTTTCTAGAAGATGACCATAGAGGACCTTCCAGATTTTCCATTAGAAGGAAATCCTTTGTTTGGAAGATACCCATTTATATTTTCTGCTTCTGATACCCCAGTTATCTTTTCCATTTCTGCAGCACCAATGCCTTCAGACTGTGGTATGTGAAGTAGCTGTGCTTATTTTCTGTGAACTGGTAACTTGACTTCTCTGTTACGCCTTTTTTGCACTCATAGTCTTTCTTAGAACCATTTTTATGGTTTTCATAAAATTGCTAAAGTTTTCCTTTTTCAAAAATACAATTGCTTATTGCTTTTTCTGCTTCTTAAGCTAAATGCTTTATTTCTGCTGTCAGCATTTATATTATGTTAAAATGTTCATTTTAAGCATCATGATGGATTTAGAGGACTTTATTTTTAGAAAGCAATGGTGCTTAGATATCTAGCATTCTTCTGCTATTGATGTATTTATTTTGGTTAAATATACTGACTTGCTAAAAAAGCCATGTACTTAGGCAAAGAGGGTAAGAGACCCTTCCCTGGAATGTGAAATGAGATTGGTTAATGTTTAAATTGGTCCATTTACATCTCCTCTGTAAAATGTTAATTTAGAAGCATTCCACTTCTCATCTATTTAGGCTTATTTCTCCAGAACCATAATAAAAGGGAACCAGGAGATAAATTTGATAGAATTGTTAAATTTCCAGTTTAGAGTTTTTCAAGTAAAATGTTGGTTCACCATTTCAAATTGTTTTTGGAGGTAGAGATCATACAATTTTTACATATTAGTAGATATTAGTAGATATAAAGTTATTGGACTGAGAATTTGTCTTTTTAGTCATATTCGTTGTAGTATAGTAATTCCTCATCTCCAAGTTTCTTTTTTTTTTTTTTTGTATTCAGATTCTTTAGCAGCTTACCTAGACCAGTCGTCAGAAGTATTATATAAAACCTGTGCCTTGATCTTGGGAGTTATCTGCAGGTTTTGCAGTAATCAACTGGGCTTATTTTCAGATATAACAAAATCAGTTATGCAGGGGAAACCTTGAACCTTGTGCATTGTACCTTAGGTATGATACTTGTCTCACTCCATCTTGACTTCTAATTGTCTTATTTTCTTTCCTATATTGTAGCGCTTTGGGATGGAGAACAATCATTTTATTTTTGTTTATCTCAAAAAGGCTAATATAGTCATTTGTTATTAGTTGCTCAATGATTGTTGAATAAATACATTGAATGAAAGGTAATAATGGATATTGACATTTTGCATAACTGGAATTAAACGTTGAAACCCCGTCTCTACTAAAAATACAAAAATTAGCCAGGCATGGTGGTGTGCGCCTATATTGTCAGCTACTCAGGAGGCTGAGGCAGGAGAATCACTTGAACCAGGAGGCAGAGGTTGCAGTGAGCTGAGATCGCATCACTGCACTCCAGCCTGGGCCACAGAGTGAGACTTTGTCTCCAAAAAAAAAAAAAAAAAAAAAAAAGCATTGTAGTCTTAGAATTATAGGTTTTTGTAGACTCTTATGAACCTTTCCCCACTCACCTCCCTGTGTAGACATCATATTTTCAGGATCTCTGTCAGATAACCATTTAACCTCTTGCATGTCTTCAATAGTGGGAAACTAACAAAATAGTTAATTTTATTGTTAAAAAGCTTTAGTTGTAATAAAATTGTTTTCGTATGTTGACTCAAAATTGGTCTCCCTGAAATTTTGGCCAAGTGATTCTAGTTTGATACATGGCACAAATTCCTTTATAGGATAGCCTTTAAGTATCTGCAGATAGTTTGAACATTTTAACTTAGCCTGAAACTCCTTAGGCTACACATTTCTGTTTCCTTCACCAGTTTCTCATTGTCAGGATTTCTAGACCCTTTTCATCGTAGCTGCTTTCTTGGTACACTGTGGTCAGTCTCCCCTTGAAAAGCGGCATATATAATTGCATTTATTGAGCAAGTATTTATTGAGGGCCTCTTGTGTGCTAGGGACTGTCCTGGATGCTGGAGATATCAGTGACCAAGACAGGTCTTCTATAGGGAAGACCAGTAAACAAACAAATGAATAGACAAAGCAAAAATAGGTCATAATGAATTCTGTGGAAGAAAGAAACAGGGTGCTGTGATAGAGAACAATGGGGGCAAGGCAGCTGCTTTAGATGGGGTGGTCATTCGGAGAATCAGAAGAGGCTGGCTGTGAGAAGAGCCTGGGAAGAAGTGTTCCAGGAAGGAAAACAGAAAACTAAAGGCACAGTGTTGAGGGAAGACCTTGGTATATCCTAAGAATTAATGGAAGGTCTTTGTGGCTGAGAAGCAAAGTGATTGATGGCAGAGTGGGAGGAGAAGGAATTGGAGAGTAAGACACCGGCCAGGTCATGCGGGGTCATGTAGGCCCCCATAGGGAATTTTTATATAATACCAACTAATGAGTGTAAAACAAAGAAACAAAAAGAAACCAGTCCACAGAAACCAGAGTTGAGGCATGTGACTCAGTGTTGACTCTCAAGGTGATTACCCTGTGAAACTATGTACTGTTCTTGCATAACAATTTTTGGAATCTTTTGCTTTGAAATGCCTTCAGAATCAGTTCATGCAGAATACACATTATATACATTATAAATACCAAAATACCTTATTATATATTTTGCTTAAACATTGAATTATCTGTTAAATTTAAATAATATAAAAAAATCTCATTTACCCATGTAGTTACCATTTCTAGTGCTCTTCATTCCTTTGTGAGTGTAGGTCCAGATTTCCATCTGATACCATTTCCTTCCGCCTGAAGCACTTCCTGTAATGTTTCTTATGGTGCTGGTCTGCCAGTGATGAATTCTTTCAGCTGTTTTATGTCTGAAAACATCTTTATTTACCTTATTTTTTTGAAAAATGTGTTTGCTGGGTTTAGAATTATAGGTTGGTAGTTTTCTTTCAGTACTTGAAAGATCTTGCTCTGCTCTCTTCCCATTTGCATTGTTTCTGCTGTCATTTTTGTTTCTCTAGATGTAATGTCTTTTTTTTGGCTGCTTTAAAGAGTTTTTATTTTGAGCAATTTTACTATTATGTGCTTAGGTATTGTTTTCTGTATGTTCTTGTGCTTGGGTTTGGTTGAGCTGCTTGGATCTGAGTTTCAGTTTTCATTAAGTTTGGGAAATCATTTAAAAAAATTTTTTGTCTGCTTCTCCCCGTTTTCAGATACTGTAATTGCATGTATATTATAGACTGCTTGAAGTTGTCCCATAACTCACTGATTTATTTTATATTTAAACATTTTTTTCTCTTTATTTTGGATAGTTTATATTACTGCATCTTCAAGTTCATTAATCTTTCCTTCTGCAGTGTCTAATTAATTAGCTGCTGATTTTTTCCAGTGCAGTTTTCATTTCAGATGAAGTTTTCATCTCTAAAGTTTGCTTTGGCTCTTTTTTATGCCCAGGTCTCTTCTCCACCTTTGAACATTTGGAATAGAGTTATATTGACTGTTTTAATGTCCTTCTCTGTTAATTATAATATCCATGTCAACTCTAGGTCTATTATTCCCCTGATTATGGGTCATGTTTTCTTCTTTCTTTGCTTGCCTGATAATCTTTAATTGGCTGCCAGACATTGTGAATTTTACCTTGTTAGATGCTGGATATTTTTGTATTCCTGTAAGTATTCTTGAACTTTGTTCTGGGATACAGTTTAGTTACTTGGAAATAGTTGGACCCTTTGAGGTCCTACTTTTCTGATTTGTTAGGTGGGTCTGGAGCCATTCTTGGCCTGGGGCTAATTGTTCCCTACTACTGAGAATTCCACTCCAGGGGCCCTGAACCCCCTGGCTACGGACTGGTACTGGTCCCCCTACCCCGGCCCCTGGTGCCAGAAAGATTGGGGACTGCTGTTCTACTCAATGCTGTGTGAATTATGAGGATTCTTTTTCAATCTTCCTTGTGAGAATAGGCACTAATCCCTGTAGTCCTTATGGATGGTTCTTTCCCTTACTTCAAGTATTTCCTCACAAGCATATGATGAATAGTTGAGGAGGACCCTGCACAGGTCTCTGGGTTTCTCTTGGAGTGTGTGCATCCATCTCTGCTGTATTCTGCCCTGTGACCTCTGGCCGCCTCAAGTTCCCCAGACTCTTAGCTCTGTCTCCTCGACTCAGTGAGTCCAGACTCTTAGCTCTGTCTCTTCAACTCAGCGAGTCCAGACTCTTACTTAGCTCTGTCTCCTCAACTCAGCGAGTTTGCTGGGCTTTTTCTTGGTTCCCCCTGCCCCACCCCTGAACTATGCTCCTGGAGACTCCCTCAAGGCAGTTACCTGGGGCATGTGTAGGACTTTTCTCATTTGTATTCCATTCCTCAGAGATCACTGTCTTTCATTGTCTAACATCCCGTGTCTTGAAAACCATTGTTCTTCCCTCTGGTGTTGTGGTTGTTTCAGATGGAAGGGCGAATTTGGCCCTCATTATTCCATCTTGACTTAAAGTAGACATCACCTCCATTTTCTCCCCTCACCCCACTTTCTTTTGATTAAAAGCTATTTTTTAGGCCGGGCTTGGTAGCTCACACTTGTAATCCCAGCACTTTGGGAGGCTGAGGCAGGTGGATCACCTGAGGTTAGGAGTTCAAGACCAGCCTGACCAACATGGTGAAACCCTGTCTCTACTAAAAATACAAAAATTAGCCGTGTGTGGTGGCGTGCGCCTGTGGTCCCAGCTACTTGGGAGGCTGAGGCAGAGGAGAATTGCTTGAACCAGGGAGGCAGAGGTTGCAGTGAGCTGAGATCACTGAGATCGGCCACTGCACGCCAGCCTGGGCGAGAGAGTGAGACTCTGTCCCTACAAAAAATAAAAAAATAAAAACTATTTTTCATTTAATCTCAAAAGCTTGCAACAGCATAAAAAATACTTTATTTTCCTTTATGGAAGTTGAAAATTCAAATGTAGTTAGATATGTTAATATATTATTGCATTGTAGCTTAGAGGTTATGTTCTCATTCTGGGTTATTCTGGCATTAATCCTGACTCAATCACTTTCCAGTTGTGTGATTTTGGGCAAATTGTTTATATTATCTATCCCTTTGTTTCTTCTTCTATAAAATGAGAATAACAATAGTGCCTACCTCATATGGTAGTTATGAGGATTAAATAAATTAATATACACAAAGTTCATAGAACAGTCCCTGGCATCTACAAGGCACTTAATAAGTCTAACTTATTGTTATTTAAATGAGCCCTCTGGAAGGCAGGGCATTAAGAAGATTTCCAGATTTGCTCTTGGAGCATCTTGAGATGCTGAAATGAGGATGGCAGTTTCTACCGATGGACTTTCCTGGTTTGCAGTTTGAATGTCTTGGTTGATGTCATCAGATGTTTTGGTGAATTCTCTAAGTGGCCCCCACAGAAACAGGCACAAAGGTTCCTTACATGAGCCATGATGGCGATTTGTCTAAAGTTTACATCAAATCATCCAGTAGGGGTTGGGGAAAAGGACAGTTTTAAGAATTTGGAAATAATAGTTTGGAGGGTTGTAACCAGATATTGGAGGAAACTAGAGGAATTCAGGATCCAGTGCAGTTTATAGGTGGACAGTGCCTCAAAGACAATAAACAGGACTAGAATCTGATAATGGGCGTACTTAGAGTTTTCTATGGAAACACAATTTTTCTCTCTACAGTTCCCATTTCTACCAAAGATAATCACAGGCTAATTTGTTCGCAAAATAAGTTTTGTCTCATTAAGCTGGCCTGATTATATATGTAAGTGCAGCAAGAATAGTGAATATGTACACATTCTCAAGTATGCCATTCCAGTCAGAGGTTTGATAATATCTAAGGGGCTTTATTGGTTTTGTAAAGTCAATCTGAATTCCTTAAAACTGTCTGGTAATAAGGAATCTGAAATTAGACTTTAAAAAGCCTTTTCAGTCTAAGAAGCCAAGCAGAGGACTTGCCCAATTGTGTCCTGTTACAGGGGAAACAAACTTTCATTGAACTTATGTAAATATTTATATTGCCATGAAAATAAAGAATACTCAATAAGTTTCTGAATTTTGGAGGGGTTGGGGTAGGGAGAAAAGAAAATGTGTTTCATTTTTGTTTACAAAAGTATTCTTCACCAAATTGCTGTAAGTTGTAGGTCTTAAGGGAAAAGAGAAAAGGCATTCTTTAACTCTAGAAAACAAACATTAAAGAACCCGCAATATTTCAAAGACATAAAAATTATAATCACCCTCATCAGTTCATTCAGTCCCCTGTAATTCTTGTTCTGCTTGATTTTGGGTTAGCAGCCTCATGAATCCATTGGTTTTCCATTAGAGTGCTGGAAATTCTTACCCAGTCCAATGCTGTGATCTTAAAGTTACCAGAAACCTGCACTTGTCAGAGTCTTTTCTGTAAATCTTCCAGCAATTTTGTATCACAGATGCTTGCAAAAGCTTTCAGGAAAATATCAGAGTAAAAAATCACTGTCTGTAGATGGCAAAAGATTTAAAATGTCCATAGTTACAGATTTGATGACAGTTCATTTTAATGCAATTGACAAGGAAATTTGGTTGTTTATTTTATAACATTTGAAGATAATAACTGGAATTATGACTGATAAAATTATACCAGAACATATCCAATTTCTAGGAATTTCATACAATTTCTAAAACACTTACATTAATAATATAGTCATACAAAAATAACATAAGGTTAAGCATCACCTTTGACAATGCTTCTCATGCAGTGTAATAGATCAAATAAGCCTAGTTAGTTTCACATATCAAATAAGCCTAGTTAGTTTCACATTTATTTGACAATGCTTCCCATGCAAAGATGCTTAATTAGTTTAATGTCTGTGTTTTTTTTTTTTTTTTTTAAAGAAATAGAACAAGATTTTCTAGGGGCCGTTGAAAAATCCCAGAGTTAGTCTAAGGTCAGAAAAGACTTCATTCAGAATTTGATTTTTGAGACGTTTATAAAAAGAATACCCAAAAGATTCAAGATTCAAAGCACTTGATTAAATAGGATTACAGGTATTTAGTTATCCATTTAACCAAAGTGACAAAGATTTCAAAGGCAAATACAGAGAAAGCCATGTAGTTGTTAAAAAAAACAAAAACAAAAAAAAACAAAACCCCTTGACTTTTTGAGAGAGAAACTTAATCAAAGACAGCACGAAGCACATGAAATTATCTTGACAAAATACAGAATCTTTGCTTTCTAGGCAGACCATTCAAAAGTTAAAGAAAAACCTTTCACAATCTCCCATCAAGAGCAGGCCCATACTCCAAGAAAGTTTAGTCGTTTTAACAGGAGCTGAAATGCTAGTTATGCATTATTTTGATATGAATGATAATAGATTCATTCAATTTTAGCCAGCTTAATCACACAAGATTCTCTCTCCCTCTTCTGAACTTCCTATAGCCATTTTGGTTTTTTTCCTTCATTTTCTTTTTCAGCAAAAAACATATCTTCCTACTTCACATTTTTTCTTGACTGTCACGCTAGCATTCTGTAGATTGAGAAATCTATGTAAATACACCATAATTTCTAGAAGCACGTTTCCTTATATTATAATTTTTCAGTGTAGCACAGGACATGTTTACTAACACACCCAGGTATCTTTAGTTTCTCTGTCCAAAAGTAGATAAGCTTATGTTCAGCAATTAATGTTTCAGTATTTATCTTATGTGGACTTACATTGATTTAATTCACTTGTTTTGAACAATTATGCTTGGATTACTTACGAAAATTTCATGAGACATTAAATAGCTAAGCATCATCTTGTTTTTCTTGCTGAGAAATTTTGTAACTTAGAGATAGCAGAGGCTTATTTGTAATTCACTTGTCTAACATGAGCTTATTTGACTAGTAGACCTACATAGAATCAAAGTTGTACGTCTGCCTTATGTCTAATGCTGACAACTCTGAAGGCATATTGGTTTTTTAAACTAAACCAACAATGTTTTTGTTTATTGAAAATTACCCAAGTCACATGAACTTGAAAAGCATTTGGATTAGTTCCTATTTTTCTGAGAGTTTTCAGGAATACTTAATTTATATAAGCACTTGTTTTTACTTATGTCTATTGAACATACATAGCTATAAGATCTCTGTGTCTGTTTGTGTATACAGACAGACACAGAGATCTTATAGCTTTCATTTCCAAATTTTAGCCATGTGTCAATTAAAATAATACAAAGCTTATTGGTTTATAAAAGAAGCTGGATCCAAATTGTACCTGTGAGAGATGGAACAAGTCAAGGTTACCTGCTCAGATGGCTACAGCTTTTTAGTGAAGATTTTTTTTTTATTTGAGTGCTGTAGGGATGCTTTTAGAGAAGCTATTTTTGAGTCATTTTGTGTTCAGCAGCTTCTGCATACAAATCAAAGAATGCATTCCATTGTCTCCAAAAGGCTTAGGATACTCCTCCTTCAAGGGCACTCCCAAAGGCAGACTATCTTACCTAAATTAAAGGTTCTCCGAAGTGGTCACTGAAATTGCAAATTATTCTTTGTAAAGTTCACCTATTTTTTCTTGTGAACTTTGTAAAGTTCACAAGATTCTGATCCACAGTGTTTTTGGACCCCATCTTTGCATTAGATTCTCTGAAAGGTCTTAACTATTAAGGATTCTTTTTTCAGCAGCTGCTCTGGAACACAGGGAATCATGTGTTTCACCCTTCCCCCTTTTGAACAGAATAGGTTGACTTCCTGAGAAGTTTCAGCAAAGGTTGTTCAGCATAATTGGAGAGTTCTACACAGAAGGAGGAGAGCTCAGATTCAAAAGAGACTTACTCTAGAACTCCATGGCTGGGTGAGAGAGCAGCCAGTGCTGCGGCCCTGGGTACCAGCACCTAGTTACTGGCCTTGGGGCTTCACAGGGGTCTTCTTCTGATCCTGCTTCTGACATCAAAAACTGTCAAAAGAAAATTCAGGGTGCTTTTCTTAATATAAATATTAAGTTAGTAAAAAACTGCAAATAGGGAGACTTCCAAATCAAAAGTGGTAAGAAGCTTGTCTCACGAAGGTTATAGTAAGGTTTATAAAGCCTAGAAAAGGAAATTCATACAGCTTAATTCTCACTGGTTAGAATGAGTGGGTTAGTTTAGTCATTACTGATTTGCTGCAATGTGCTGAGTCATGCTGACCAAGAAATGAAGTTCAAGCTTCATGTGCAGTTTAAGTAGGTGTTTTGGAGAATAGGTCCTTACAGGTTTTCCTGAGCTGGGGGTGGGACTTTGGCTCAGAGGCCAAGGTTTGTCTTGGCTTCTATTTTGATTTTTGCCTAACAGGACCATTTTGTTGTCTAAGCTTACGAATGTTATCACATTTCAGTTCAATCTTTCTGATTCTCTTCTGATGGACTGCTGCTCTGCTTGTATATGTGTCTTTAGTTTGGTGCCTCTCATCTTTTAGTTATGCTGACTCTAGAAGTAAGAACTATGTGTACATAGTATAATTTTGGAAAATATATAAATGCAAAGAAGAAAGCAAAAACAAAAAAACCTCAATGAGTCCCACTACTTATGCATGCTGTTACAATCTGAGCTCAGTGGTGAGTTACCTCAGCAAGTAGAATAATAGAGGAAAGAAGATAGACTTTGGAGACAGACCTGGTTTTCTACCCCAGATTTGCCACTTACTAGCTGTGCGATGTTGAGCTGGTATTATTTAGTCTGAGCTTTGCTTTCCTCATGTGCAAAATGAGAATAATACCTGCCAGGTAAGGTGTTGGTGAGGATTTTTAAAGTATTTAGTAAGTGCTCAGCAAATGTTCATAATATTTTCCTTATTTAGATACTTCTGATTTTTTTTTAGCATCTAAAATATTTGTATCATTTGAACCTTGGTTTTATTGTTTATTATTTTCAATATATTTATTTGAAACTTTTAGTAAATTTAATTTGCATCTTTTTTTATTTCAGAATTTTCTTTCTTTGATCCTAATGATGCATCATGCCAGGAAATTCTTTTTGATCCCAAAACTTCAGTTTCAGAATTATTTGCCATTTTGAGACAGTGGGTTCCTCAGGTCCAACAAAACATTGACATTATTGGAAATGAGGTAAGGAATTCTTACATTTTAAGTTTTGCATTGTTAGGATTGTTAATGGTATAGATTTTTTTCCCCATCTGAAAGGAAGATGGTAATAAAGGAGAAACCCTTTAAAAGTTCTGATATTTATTTGTATTTCCAGGATTTTCATGGGGCAGTGAGTTAATACTATATATTCTTCTGATTATTTCTTCATGCTCTGTACTTCTGACATTTGTAGACTCCTGGCGGGTGCAGGGAGGGGCATTTTTCATATTTCCTTCTTTGTAAAATTAATTTTGTAAACTTTTATGCATTTCATAAAGGGATTTGATTACCATCATGTTCTATTTACACTTTTGGTTGGTTTGGTAAATATATAGGCTTGAATGTAGTCTTTAAGAATATTAGATTTTTTGAGGGAGGGTTCCTTGACCAGTATGTTGCTGTGTTGTAGGAAGAGAGTGCTTATACTTTTTTCAAATATCATTACACGCATAGAAATAAAATTTTGCTCATTTTTGAGAGGAACATATTTGGAGTGCCAGATTACCTTTGGAATAATCTTTAAGAATTTCCTTCAGCCTGCTGACAAGTTCAGTTTTCATTATTGTTGTTGAGTACAGATTTAAAAATTTACCCTTAAGATATGCTCATACTGTCTATACATTTTACTGAGAAGTAATTCAGATACGATAGACTAACTTGGTTCCTCAGCATTGGTTTGAAAGCAATAGGTACCTCAGTAGTTAGGTTGTAACCATATTTTCCTTGACTGCTTCAGATTCTTAAGAGAGGTTGCAATGTGAATGATAGAGATGGATTGACAGATATGACTCTTTTACATTATACCTGCAAATCTGGAGCTCATGGTATTGGTAAGTGTGTGGTAAATCTATCAGTTGCTTATGTCATCTGCACTTGTGCTTAGATAATCTATATTTATGCCCATATATTGTCTGGGGGAAGGCACCCAGCTGATGATGATAATATTGCCTGAAGAGCTGAGGATTCAGTTAGGTCCTTCCAAAAACCATATTCCCTTTAATCAAGGAGGTCTTTATACCCTCCTGATACCTCTTAACTTTTCTGGATCAGGCCTCATGCCTGATTGCATAATAGATGAGAGTAACTAGTAACACCCTAAAATCTTTCTGAGGGTTTATAACAAGGTTTGACAGTCCAAGGTCAGTCTTTGCATACTGATCCCTAATCTTAAGACCCCAGTCTTGAGACCTAAGGTCTGTTCCTACATATGTAACATATGTGCATATTTTCCAAAATTGTTATTCTCTTGTGCTTTTTGTCATTGTATGAACCTGCATCTCTTACTTAACTATATATTGTGATTGTCTCTCCTTGTTTCAATAGTCTGATGTGGTGGTGCTGAAGCTACTGGTGGTGATGGACTCCTTTTTCCCCTCACAACTCATCATGAACTGATACTTTCACAAAATAAAATAAAAATGAATTTATAATACAAAATAAAATAAAGCCATAAAATATAAGCCCAAATATTTTTCAAATGGCATAAAACTGGCCAGGCATGATGATTTACACCTGTAATCCCAACACTTTGGGAGGCCCAGGCAGGAGGATTGCTTGAGGCCAGGAGTTTGAGACCAGCCTGGGCAACACAGTGAGACCTTGTCTCTACAAAAAATTAAAAAATTAGCCAACCATGGTGGTGCATGCCTAGAGTTTCAGCTGCTTGCGAGGCCGAGGTGGGAGGATCGTGTAAGCCCAGTAGTTGAGGGTTGGCGTGAGCTGTGATTGTATCACTACACTGCAATCTGGGTGACAGAGCAAGACTGTCTTTAAAAAAGAGGAAAGAATAAAAGGCATAAGACTACATTTCAGTTAACATAATGAGAAGACATATTAAATAGGGAAAAGCAATAAAAGGTACACACAGATTGCAATTTGGGACTGCCAGTGGTCCACGGAACACGTTTGGGGGAGCACTGATCTGCTGTGTTGTTGTTGATGGCTTCATAGCATTCTATGTGTGTCTCAATTTATTTAACCAATTTCTTATTATACTTTTTGGATTTTTTAGAATTATATTAACAATAAGAGTGCAGTGATGAGCATCTTTGCAGCCAAGTGTTTATCTGTATCCCTGAGTATGATTATTTTCTTAGGATCAATTCTTGCAAGTGAAATTTTTGAAGTGTGTCTATACAGTGCACTGTTTGCTTTGGCTTTTTAAATGAGGCAATTGGTAGCCATCCATTGGAACTTAAAATTTGTACTAAAGGAAAGTAATTTAGAAAATCTTCTTTAGGTGATGTGGAAACAGCTGTAAAATTTGCAACTCAGCTTATTGACCTGGGAGCAGACATTAGTTTGCGGAGTCGCTGGACAAACATGAATGCTTTGCATTATGCTGCTTATTTTGATGTCCCTGAACTTATAAGAGTGATTTTGAAAACATCGAAACCAAAAGGCAAGTATTATAAGATCACCTTTAGATATTATTAACTGAACACTTTAGTGGTGGCATAAAAATTATAATTCAAGGATATTTTTTCCTTCTAATCCATCTTGTTTCATATGCCTTTCTACTCCATTTTATTTCTGAGATAGTTTAAAATTTCTTTATTGAGTATTAATTACTATCTTTTCTACAAAAGGATTAGTACAGAGAGATACAAAATGAAAGAGTGTTCTCTGGGTTTTCATATCTCTATAAGTTCTCCAGTATAACACGGATGTTTTATATAATTGATTCTACATGGTTTATGATTCTTTTGCCTTGCTTGGGTAGCCAGAAATAGAATAATAAGGTCTTCAGAGATTGGAATAATAAATAATATTTATTTTAGATGGCATTTGGTTCTGAAATTATATAATTCAACTTAAGGGATAATATTTCAGTTTTTTTTCCCTGTTTTGATGGTGATATCCTGAAATTGAAGATCTGAATGTCTAAGTCACAGTCCTGGTATTTTGATTTTTCTCTCTGGTTCTCTTGGGGCCCAATTTTCTTTTCTTTCTTTTTTAGAAAAATATGAGAGCAAGCAAATAGTATTAACGTTAAGTTAAAGTGTACAATATTTTCCCCATTGTAGGAACATGCTTCAGAGATTCAATAGATAAATTTCCCAGAATGTTCATTTCTAACCTCCAATCTGCATAATTGTCCATTTTCTCTTTAAAATTCTACCTTTTCAATTTCTAAGTGATGTTGGGAAGAAAGCCTCTGTCTACACTACTGTGTCTTTAATAATTCAAGAGAGTTTGTCGAGTATTTCTGGGTGGTTTGCAGTTGTAGGAAGGGTATGTGGGTGTGGTGTTGTTTAGTTGAGGGTAGGATTTGCAGAACCAGAGGTATATTTAAACCCTTGTTATCGAAAATACTCAAGATGGGATTCCCAAATCTGGAGGATTTCCTGTATTTAAGTATAACATATGATGCTATGTTAAACGTTATTAACATGTCCTTAGAGTTGCAAGATTACTTTTCTCATTATGAAATTCAAATTCATTTGTTCAGTAGAGTATTATGAATCAATTTATAGGTAAGCATTTCTATGCTTAATTAGACTTTAACTACTTTGAAAATTCTGCTTTGTTTTACCTACCAGGTATTGGCCGTTTTTTTTCTGTAAAGGGCCAGCTACTAAATACTTTAGACTTTTTGGACCATATGGTCTCTGATGAAACTACTCAGTTCCATAGTTGTAGCATGGAAGTAGCCACAGAGGATATGTAAATGAATGAGTGTGCCTGTGTTCTAATAAAACTTTATAAAAACAGGTGGGCTGGATTTGGCCTCTGAGTCATAGGTTGCTGACCCCTGAGCTAAACTCTACTACTCTACCTCACTGTAGTTGTCATGGCAAATATGCAACAGACTTAATGGGAGATTGTGATAAGCTGTTACTTTTACAGATATGAATTTTTGCCATTAATTGTTTTAAAATATGTTTTAGTTTGAAAATCCAAGATAATATCACTCCATCTTATAATGAATTTTATTGTACTAATAATCAACTGCTTATTTTAACTAGATTGTAATATAAAGATTTTGTTCTGTTGTGAAATCATGCCTCTAGTGGGTTGATTTAAGTCTTACAAATGCTATAAGTCCCTCCTCCCAAAGCCCTGTCTTCTTTTAAATTATGATAGCTAAGTTTAAACTTTTAGTTAATATACTTATGATGTTTAATTGCAGATGTGGATGCCACTTGCAGTGATTTTAATTTTGGAACAGCTTTGCATATTGCAGCATACAACTTGTGTGCAGGTGCTGTGAAGTGCCTCTTGGAGCAGGGAGCAAATCCTGCATTTAGGGTAAGAGGTTAAATTAAAAGTGAAAAATATTAAAAGAATTAAGAAATCTTACTTTCTGGTAAAATGTTGAATCTGAATGTTATTAATAGAAGAACTCTTACATGAGCAAGTAATTTATATCTTTGTGCCACATGTAAAGAGTGATGATGATCTTTATTGTAAATAAATTTAAGGCATAATGATAAATTTCCTTTTATATTGATAAGTCCCATTCAGGAAAGTAAAGTCTTCCTTTAAGTGTCATAATCTTTAAGTATCTTTCATTTAGGAGTTTGATGTATTTATGAAAAGTCAGCTGTTAAGTAGCAATACATATATTACAGTTATATTTTTCTGTTAAATCATATTCTAAACTTTTTTGGAAATTCATTTCGGAAAGTTATATACCCATTTAAGGATGAAGTAAGCCTTTGAAAATGAAATGTTTAAAGGAAAAGTGTATTTTTTAATAGTAAAATTTCACTAATTTACAGAGTTACACAGGATTGAATTTCATAGTCTTCAGATCATTTGTTGTTGTTGTTTTTTTTTTTCAGAAAGTGTTCTGTTTTCCCTTTCTTTATATTAATAACAATAACTCGCTCTGGCAGGTATTCTTAATCGTGTTATACTTTCCCTTGAAGGGATGTGTGTGAGCGGCAGATAGTGTGCAGTATTCGAAAACACCTGTCTTCCCTTCCCTTTCCTATTTTTCCCATTTTCCCTACTTCTTTGCCAGTTTTCTTTCTGTTTAACCCCCTTGATTACCCCCCAACTTTTAATTTCTTCTCTTCCTCCCTCCCTCCCTTCTGACTATATTGGTTATTGGGCACTGGGAGAATACTACAATAATGTAGATAAAGCCCTTGCCCTCAAAAAGAATGTCTTGCAGAGGGGAGGTGGGACAGGGAAGCAGTCAGTTTTACTGTAGTGTGCTAATTCAGTGTGACATGATGGGGCGGGGGTGGCAGAGGGCCATGGGGTCATCTTCCCAAGGCTTCAACAGGGGGTGACATCTAAATCAAGTGCTTACATAGGCAAGAATTAAACAGGTACTGAAGGGAGGGTGAGGAAAGCATCTTAGGCAGAGAGAGTAGCGTGCAAGAAGCCTAGGAGATGATCATTCAGTCCAGCTGGAGTGTGAAGGGGGGAGGCGTTTGCTTTTGTTGGTACAGCTGTTGACAAAGCCCCATTAGTGGGGACAATGTTCTGAATTTGTTAGGATGCCATGAGATACGTTATTGAGCTAAATTACCAATTTAGGCCAGAAGCAGATTAATAGGTTGCCATATTTTGAAAATAACTACTTAAAAAAAAAAAAGGTAAACGTATGGGTCAGCAGTAGCCCTCAGACCATACTTTGATAGCCGCCATCTTATTTTTTAATTTTTATTTTAAATATTAGATTCAGGGAGTATATGTACAGGTTTGTGAAATAGGTTATATTGCCTGGTGCTGAGGTTTGGGCTTCTGTTGACGCCGTCACCCAAACAGTGAACATACCCTAGCCCTTCCCCACCTCCTTCCCTCCCACACTCCCTCCCGTCTTTAGGGGTCCCAGTGTCTGTTGTTCCCATCTTTATGTCTGTGTGTACCCAGTGTTCAGCTCCCACTAATAAGTGAGAACATGCATTATTTGGTTTTCTGTTTCTGCATTAATTTTCTTAGGATAATGGCCTCTAGTTGCATCCATGTTGTTGCAAAGGGCACGATTTCATTATTTAAATGACTGTGTAGTATGCCCTATATGTACCGCATTTTCTTTATCCAGTCCACTATTGATGAGCACCTAGGTTGATTCCATGGCTTTGCTATTATGAATCGTGCTGTGAAAAACATATGAGTGCAGTGTCTTTTTGGTAAAATAATTTATTTTCCTTTGGGTGTGTACAGTAATGAGATTGCTAGGTCAAATGGTAATTCTGTTTTTAGTTTTTTGAGAAATCTCCACATTGCTTTCCACAGGGGCTGAACCAATTTACATTCCCACTAACAGTGTATAAATGTTCCTTTTCTCCACAACCTCACCAAGATGTTATTTTTTGACTTTTTAATAATGGCCATTCTGACTGGTGTGAGATAGTCTCTCATTGTGGTGTTGATTAGCATTTCTCTGATGATTAGTGACGTTGAGCATTTTTTATATTTGTTGGTTGCTTGTATGTCTTCTTTTGAGAAGTGTCTGTTCATGTTCTTTGCCGCTTTTTAATGGGATTTTTTTTCTTGTTGATTTGTTTACATTCCTTATAGATTCTGGATATTAGTCCTTTGTTGGATGCATAGTTTGTATTTTTACCCATTCTGTAGGTTGTCTGTTTACTCTGTTGATAGTTTCTTTTGCTGTGCAGAAGCTCTTTAGTTTAATGAGGTCCTGTTTGACAATTTTTGTTTTTGTTGCCTTCGCTTTTGAGGACTTAGTCCCAAATTCTTTGCCTAAGCCAATGCCTAGAAGAGTATTTCCTAGGTTTTCGTCTAGGATTTTTGTAGTTCGAGGTCTTACATTTAAATTTTAAATCCATCTTGAGTTAATTTTTGTATATAGTGAGTAGTGGGGGTCCAGTTTCATTGTTCTGCATATGGCTAGCCAGTTTTCCCAGCACCATCTATGAGTAGAGTGTCCTTTCCCTACTGTTTATTTTTGTCAGCTTTGTCAAAGATCAGTTGGTTGTGTGTGGCTTTATTTCAGGGGTCTCTATTCTGTTTCATTGGTCTATATGTCTATTTTTTTTAGCAATATCATGCTGTTTTGATTACTGGAGTCTTGTAGTATAATTTTAAGTCAGGTAATGTGATGCCTCTGGCTTCTGTTCTTTCTGCTTAGGATTGCTTTGGCTATTTGGGCTCTTTTTTTTTTTTGGCTCCATATGAATTTTAGAACAGTTTTTTCTAATCCTGTGAAAAACGATGTTGGAAATTTGATAGGAAGACTGTTGAAACTGTCAATTGCTTTGGGCAATGTGGACATTTTAATGATACTGATTCTTCCAGTCCATGAGCATGGAGTGTTTTTCCATTTGTTTGTGTTCTTTCAGCAGCATTTCATAGTTATTGTAGAGATCTTCCATCTCCTTGGTTAGATGTATTCCTTGGTATTTTTATTATTATTTTGTGGCTGTTGTAAATGGAATTGTGTTCTTGATTTTGTTCTCAGCCTGAGTGTTATTGGTGTATAGAAATGCTACTGATTTTCGTATATTGATTTTGTGTCCTGAAACTTTACTGAAGTTGTTTATCAGGTCTAGGAGGTTTTTTTTGGCAGAACCTTTAGAATTTTCTACATATCGAACCATATTGTTGGTGAAGAGAGGTAATTTGACCTCCTCTTTTCCTATTTGGGTGCCTTTTATTTCTTTTTCTTGCCTAATTACTCTGGCTAGGACTTCCAGTACTATGTTGAATAGGCGTAGTGACAGTGGACATTCTTGTTTTGTTCCAATTCTCAGGAGGAATGTTTCCAACTTGCCCGTTCAGTATGATGTTGGCTGTGGGTTTGTCATAGATGGCTCTTAGTATTTTGAGGTATGTTCCTTCAATGCCTAATTTGTTGAAGGTTTTTTTTTTTTATCATGAAGGGGTGTTGGAATTTATTGATTGCTTTTTCTGTGTCTATTGAGATGATCCTACAGTTTTTAATTTTGTTTATGTGGTGAATCACGTTTATTGACTTGCATACGTTGAACCTCCTTGCATGACTTGATCACGGTGAATTATCTTTTTGGTATGCTGCTGAATTTGGTTTGCTAGTAACTTGAGGTTTTCTGTGTCTGTGTTTATCAGGGATATTGGCCTGTAGTTTTCTTTTTTGTTGTGTCTTTGCCAGATTTTGGTATCAAGATGATACTGCTTTCATAGAATGAATTAGGGAGAAATCCCTCCTCCTTGGTTTTTTCATATCATTTTGGTAGGATTGTTATCAGCTCCTCCTCGTATGTTTGGTAGAATTTGGCTGTGAATCCATTCGGTCCAGGGCTTTTTCTGGATGGTAGGTTTTTTATTACTGATTCAATTTTGTAACTAATTATTGGTGTGTTCAGGGTTTCACTTTCTTCCTGGTTCTTGGAAGGTTGTGTGTTTCTAGGAATTTAGATTCCTAGATTTTCTAGATTTCCTCTAGATTTTCTAGTTTATGTGAATAGAGGTATTCACAGTAGTTGCTGAGGATCTTTTACATTTCTGTGGGATTGTTGTAATGTCATATTTATCATTTCCAATTGTGCTTATTTGGATCTTTCTTTTTTCTTTAGCTAGCAGTCTGTCAATCTTATTGTTTCAAAGAACCATCTTTTCATTTTGCTGATCCTTTGAATGCCTTTTTTGGTTTCAGTTTCATATAGTTGTACTCCAATTTTAGTTATTTTTTTGACTAGCTTTGGGTTTAGTTTGTTCTTATTTATTTTTTTAACGTGTTTTTATTTATTTATTTTTATTTTTTATTTTGTTTCTTTTATTATACTTTAAGTTTTAGGGTACTTGTGCACAATGTGCAGGTTAGTTACATATGTATACATGTGCCATGATGGTGTGCTGCACCCATTAACTCGTCGTTTAGCATTAGGTATATCTCCTAAAGCTATCCCTCCCCTCTCCTCCCGCCCCACAACAGTCCCCAGAGTGTGATGTTCCCCTTCCTGTGTCCATGTGTTCTCATTGTTCAATTCCCACCTATGAGTGAGAATATGCGGTGTTTGGTTTTTTGTCCTTGCGATAGTTTACTGAGAATGATGATTTCCAATTTCATCCATGTCCCTACAAAGGACATGAACTCATCATTTTTTATGGCTGCATAGTATTCCATGGTGTGTATGTGCCACATTTTCTTAATCCAGTCTATCATTGTCAGACATTTGGGTTGGTTCCAAGTCTTTGCTATTGTGAATAGTGCTGCAATAAACATATGTGTGCATGTGTCTTTATAGCAGCATGATTTATAGTCCTTTGGGTATATACCCATTAATGGGATGGCTGGGTCAAATGGTATTTCTAGTTCTAGATCCCTGAGGAATCGCCACACTGACTTCCACAATGGTTGAACTAGTTTACAGTCCCACCAACAGTGTAAAAGTGTTCCTGTTTCTCCACATCCTCTCCAGCACCTGTTGTTTCCTGACATTTTAATGATCGCCATTCTAACAGGTGTGAGATGGTATCTCATTGTGGTTTTGATTTGCATTTCTCTGATAGCCAGTGATGGTGAGCATTTTTTCATGTGTTTTTTGGCTGCATAAATGTCTTCTTTTGAGGAGTGTCTGTTCTTATTTTTCTAGTTCCCTTAGGTGCAATGTTAGGTTGTTGAGACCTCCCTGTCTTCTTGATACAGGCGTTTTGTACTTTACTCTTAACACTGCTTTTGCTACATCCCAGAGGTTTTGGTATATTGTGTCTCTATTTTCATTTGTTTCAAAGGATTTTTTTTGAATTCTGCCTTAATTTCATTGTTTACCCAAAAGTCATTCTGGAGCAAGTTTTCTAGTTTGCATGTATTTGTGTGGTTTTCAAGAGCTCTTCTTGGTATTGATTTCTATTTTTACTCCACGGTGGTCCAAGAGATTCTTGGTGTGATTTTGATTTTTTTGAATTTGTTGAGACTTGCTTTATGACCATGGTCAATCTTTGAGTATGTTCCATGTGCAAATGAGAATAGCATTTATATTCTGTGGTTGTTGGGTGGAGTATTCTTTAGATGCCTATTAAGTCTAACTGGTCAAGTGCTGTATTTAAGTCCAAAATTTCTCTGTTAGTTTTCTGCCTTGATCTGTCTAATGCTTTCAGTGGGGTGTTGAAGTCACCCACTATTATTGTGTGACTATCTACATCTTTTTGTAAGTCTAGTAGTAATTGCTTTATAAATTTGGGTGCTCCAGTGTTGGGTGTGTGTATATTTAGGATAGTTAAGTCTTCTTGTTGAATTGAACACTTTATCATTATGTAATGCCCTACTTTGTCCCTCTTGACTGTTGTTGGCTTAAAGTATGTTTAATAGTGATCATCTGCTCCTTTTTGTTTTCCATTTGCATGATAGATCTCTCTCCAGCCTTTTACTTTGAGCCTATGGGTGTCATTACCTGTGCAATAGGTATCTTGAAGACAGCAGAAGGACAAGTCTTCTTTTTTTTTAATCCGATTTCCCACTCTATGTCTTTTGAGTGCTGTGTTTAGGCTGTTTATTTTCAGGGTTAATATTGATATGTGAAGTTGAGCTCCTGTTTCATGTTAGCTAGTTGCTTTGTAGCCTTGATTGTGTAGTTGCTTTTATGGAGTCTATAGACTATGTGCTTATGTATGCTTTTGTGACAGCAAGTATTATTTTTTTGTTTTCATGTTTAGAACTCTCTTAATCATCTTTTATTAACCTTTTTCAGGGTTAATATAGAAATGTGAAGTTTTGTTCCTGTTGTCGTGTTGTTAGCTAGTTGCCTCCTAGTCTCAATTGTATAGTTGCTTTATGAAGAACATAGACTATGTGCTTAAGTATGCTTTTGTGGTAGCAAGTTTTATTCTTTTGTTTCCATGTGTAGAACTCCCTTAATCGTCTTTTATAGGTCCAGTCTGGTGGTATGCCACCACTTTAGAAGAAAGTGGAATTCCACAATTGATCATGAATAAGCCTTCTTGTCTTAGGAAGATATCGTCATTGTTATTTTATTATTCTTACTATTATTTAGGTTTTTTTTTTTTAACAGAAGTTTCGATTGTTGAATTGTATGGGAATTAACAGAAGTGTGTGACAGGTTCCAAAAAGTGGGGATATAACAAAAGTCCAAAGTAAAATATTCACTGTAAGCATAGCTTACAACTTAGCCTGGGTGTATTTTAAAAATTTTTATGTTTCCCTATTTTTCTCTCTCTGTTTTTTAGAGAGTATACATTAGTGTAACACATATCTTTATTGTATTTTGTATGTTTTCTTGAAATCTGGGATTAGAAGAGTCCATTACCATCCTAGACATCTAATAACATATCTTCTTGCCATATTTCTACTAAGGACCAACCTGACTTGAATTTTAAAACAAAAAAATGCGAAGCAATTGCAAACTAAGTGTGTTCTAAAAGCCTCGTTCATTTTTCCATGTGAATCATTTGAAGAAGATTGTATCAGTGAAGAAAGGGAAAAAAGTTTCTCAGTTAACAAAAGTATCTTTATTCTTTATATTAAAAGAAGATTACAATCTAAATTATTTCTCATGAAGTCTAAGGTTTTTGGTTAGGGAATGTAAGATGACAGATAATTCATATGATAGGGCTTTTATGATACATATACCATGCAAATGACCGTGGGGTTGTCATTGGCCATTTTATCTTGTCACAGGACAAATCCCAGGATACAGTCTTTCTGTCATAGTGAAAACAGAGCTTTTTTCTTGATTATAGCCCAGGTTTTAGTAGTATCAAAACCATAGTTTCTAGTTTTGAAATCTGAGTTACCCCATGAATGGGCAGGGGGCTGAGGTCACAGAGCCAAGAGGGCAGCTCTGGAACCATGGATCTGGGGCTGGGAAGCGTCAGTCCTGTGACTTTTGTTTCCAAGCTTGCTTTCTCATGCCTCTGCGGGCAGAATGCTCTCCGTTTAGGACCTGAGCACCGCTCCCCACATGGACGCCTTGCTTTTCCCTGCCAGAGAACCTGCACAGCTCCTCCCTGGTCTGCTTTGGATCTCTGTGGAGATGCATCTCATCAGTGAGGCCTCCCTGACCACTTAATCTAAAGAGTTTCCCCTACAACCATCTCTGTCTCCACATTTCCTATTCCCCTTCCCTGTTTTTTTTTTTTCCCTCCAGGCCACTTATGACTGTTTATTATGCCACATATAATTTACTTGTTTAATGTTGTATGGTCTATCTCTCCCACCAGAATGTAATGTTCCTTGAGGGCAGGGCTTGTGTTTTTTTCACTGTAGGATCTTTAGCACCTAGAATGGTGTCTGCATATTGTAGGCGTTCAGGAAATGTTTTTGAATAAACAAATGATGAATGAATTTAACGTAAAGTTCTTCCAACAGAAATTTTATATGACTTTCTAGTGCTCTAAGTAAGAGTTGAACATTTTTCTCTTATCTTTATTTGTAGAATGACAAAGGACAGATCCCTGCTGATGTTGTTCCAGACCCAGTAGATATGCCGTTAGAGATGGCTGACGCCGCAGCCACTGCTAAGGAAATCAAGCAGATGCTTCTAGATGCGGTGCCTCTGTCATGTAACATCTCAAAGGCCATGCTCCCAAATTATGATCATGTCACTGGCAAGGCAATGCTTACGTCACTTGGCCTGAAGTTGGGGGATCGTGTTGTTATTGCAGGACAGAAGGTACAGTAAGTAACTGCAATCTCTGAAGCCAGGGTTGTTATGTCCATGACCTATGTTCAAGGACACAGTATGGTCAGAGTTTTGAGTTTTTGAAAAAGGTTCAACATGTAGGTAGAAAGATGCTTAATGGAAAATGTAAAACTTAGATATGAATTTACTGTTAAGTTATGCTTTAAGAATATAAACTACTTGAACTTAATAAAGAAGACATCTTTATTTGAATAAAGAGTGGAGTGGAGTAGAACTCTTGAGTGAATTTAGAAGCATGAGCTAAGGGATGATCTAAGGTGGAGGATTATCTTTGCAGTCCCCTCTTTCCCCAGTGGTACTTCTCTGACTGCTGCTCCTCCATAGAAATGGAGCACAGGAGACCCTTGCTGTTCATGGGTGTTTGTCTTTGGGTTCCCACAAATAGGGCAGTCTGAGATATTATGTAACCTGGTGATAAGGATTTGTGTGGAAAAGAGGACTCCTACTCCCATCATCCAGACACCTTTTTTCCTCCCAAGCTTTTGTTTCCATATTGTATTCATTTATTGCCAGTTGCTTTTTAAAAATATCTCATATGGGAGGTTTTCTTGTTTTTTCTTTTTTTAATTATTTTATTATACTTTAAGTTCTGGAATACATGCACAGAACATGCAGGTTTGTTACGTAGGCATACGTGTGCCATGGTGATTTGCTGCACCCATCAACCCGTCATCTACATTAGGTATTTCTCCTAATGCTATCCCTCCCCTAGCCCTGTCCCTTCAGTTTTTTCTTAATATTGAGGTTAATAGGGAGCTTGGTATGGAGAATGGAACAGGGAATTCCTGCTTGGATATTGAGTTTCCCAACATAGTTATATCCCTTTTTTTTTTTTTTTTTTTTTTTGAGAAGAGTCTCACTTTGATGCCTAGGCTGGAGTGCAGTGGCACAGTCATAGGTCACTGTAGCCCCGAACTCCTGGGCTCAAGCAACCCTCCTGCCTCAGCCCCTGTAGTAGCTGGAACTACAGGTGTGTGCTACTATCCAGCTAATTAGGATTCTTATGTCTTCTTGGAAATTGACTCCCTTATTATTATTTAATGTTCTTTTTCATCCTTGGTAATGTTCCTGGCTCTGAAGTGAGAGCAAGGAACATTACCAAGCATAAAAAGGTAATGTTGAGAGAGCGAATTTTTAAAATTCACTTTGAGAGAGTGAATTTTTAAAAACTCCCATGGTGAAGTAAAGTTGCAAGAGTAGGACCCTTGGAATTACTAATAATTCCCCAAAATTATTCTGGTTTATATTTTCTTTAGGTTGGTACATTAAGATTTTGTGGAACAACTGAATTTGCAAGTGGGCAGTGGGCTGGCATTGAACTGGATGAACCAGAAGGAAAAAATAATGGAAGTGTTGGAAAAGTCCAGTACTTTAAATGTGCCCCCAAGTATGGTAAGGTTGATATTATTTAACTCGGTAAGAATTAATTAAAAATAATCAAGTTTTACTCTTTTACAGTTGTTAAATAAAACTTTTCTCCTGATTTCTTATGTGATAAATGAGGGGCATGTGGATGTAGGGAGGACTTTTTAAAGATAGGAGATAGTTATATTTATTTACACTGACGAGAGGCGACGTGAGAGGGAGAAATGGTGGTTGCAGGAGAGAAAGGGGACATTTCCAGGAGGAAAGTCCTGAAAAACTTGAAAGGGAAAAGGATTTCAGTATAAGAGTTAGCCTTGCATTAGATCAGGCGCAGCTTTCCACTATTTATTTATTTGTTTGAGACGGAGTCTTGCTCTGTCGCCCAGGCTATAGTGCAGTGGCTCGATCTCGGCTCACTGCAACCTCTGCCTCCCAGGTTCAAGCGATTCTCCTGCCTCAGCCTCCCGAGTAGCTGGGATTACAGGCATTTGCCACCATGGCTGGATAATTGTTGTATTTTCAGTAGAGACAGGGTTTCGCCATGTTGGCCAGACTGGTCTCGACCTCCTGACCTCAGGTTATCTGCCCACCTTGGCCTCCCAAAGTGCAGGGATTACAGGCATGAGCCACTGTGCCTGGCCAACCATGAATTTCAGAGGCCATGATGGAAAGGTTTAGGAGGGTGTCTGGTAGTGACTGGTGAAGAGGGCATCTGATGGAATTGTCTCAATGATGTTTTTGGGAAAGTGTCTTTCTTGGGACTGGTCTCTTGGGTGGCTTTTAGTGGGGAGACAGTGATGAGAGGGGTTTTTTCGTTAGTAGGCTGTGAGCTGTTGGGCTGCCCTTGATTCTTGCTGCCAGCAGTATAGTGATTGGGAGAAGGCCTCTGACCAGGGGCACGCCCAGCTCTGCAGACCTCCCTCAAATCCTGCACCTAGTAGTGTTGTGGCCAAGGGAGGGACTTGGTTATCAAGGAAGTACAGAGCTCTGGAGGTCATGAAGAACTTGGAAAACTGGAAAAATCAAGCAAGGCCAACTTTATGACCGCATTCCTGAGGTTTCTTTGAAACTCTGCGAGGTTTCTTTCTCTTTCTGACAAATGTTTAAGTAAATTCTGACAAATGTTTAAGTAAATTCTTTCTGACATGTTTAGGTAAATTTATTCTTCCTCTCTCTCACACACACCTATCCTGTCTATTGATTTCAATTTGATTTTGTAGTCACTTACTATGTTGTGAATACTTTTCCTTGAAATGAAATATTCTTTTAGAACATTGTTTTCCACGATTGTGTAGTATTCATCTTGTGGCCTGATGGTGAGGTGGTGTGGTATGATGATGATGATGAAGCGGATGGACTTTGGAGTCTGACTGCTTTTGTGTGATTCGATTTCTTTACTTACCAGCTATGTGACTGTCTTTCTCTTCTTGTGCCTCAGTTGTCTTCTGTGAAATAGGGATGACACTATCATAAGGACTAGTGCAAGAATTAAATGTGTTGGTAAAAGTATAAAGCACCTAGAACAGTGCATGATTCCCTGTAAGCACTCAACAGATGAGAGCTGTTGGCTATCACGCTTTTATCAAAATTAACTAGTTTCCTTTCATCACACACTTAGGATGGAATCTCATTTTTTTGGTCTATTAAAACTTTTTTTGTTTGTTTATAAAAATGCTGATTGTATAAGATTTGAAAACAAGAGGAAAGTAAAAATTCTGCATTTTTATTTAATATCCTAGTGTAATTTCCCCAAATCTTTACATATTGTTTGAAAATTTGATTTTGAATAGCTCCATTTCCTTTAATTTTTCCAATTTGACAGATGAAAATTTCTATATTTTAATTGGTATTTCTCTTATTGTGGTGAAATAGAACACTTTTTAAAGTGTTTTGTTGTAGTATAGGTATTTTTTATGTTTCTTGGCAATTGCCTGTTTGTATTATTTTCCCAGTAAAAATTGGGATATTAGTGTGTCTTTTTTAAAAAAGGATGAGTTTTAAAATACATACTTATGATATTAAGCTTTATTTATTATGGATATTTTGTCTAGCTTGTCATTTGCCTTTGAACCTCATTTGCAATGTTTTTTGGACATGTAGTTTTATGGCTTAAAGACTTTTATCAATTCTTATATTACTTTTATGCTTTGATAATTCTTCCTAATCTAAGGATTATACATTTTATATTTCTTTAAATGTTTATATTTTTCCTTTTATTTATAGTTGGCACTAAATATTTGTATTTATACAAATAATTGTACCTATTTATGGGGTACAGAATGATATTTCTGTGTAATGTAAGGTGTAATTAAATGAGGGTAATTAGGATATTCATCACTTCAAACATTTATCATTTGAGAACATTCAAAATCCTCTCTTTTAGCTTTTTCAACATACACAATAAATTGTTGTTAACCATCTTCACCTCACAGTGCTGCAGAGCACTAGAACTTATTCCTCCTGTCTAGCTGTAATGTAAATGTTTTAATTTTTATACTTAATTATGTAATCCATTTGGAATTTATTTGGTTAGTAGTTTGAGGTTAAGAATTTAATTTTAATTTTCCTCCGATAGATTACTTTGCCACCTGTCAAGCAGATTAAGGGCAGGATCAAAAGCCTTTAGCAACACATAGGGCAGAGGTAAATCAGAATTATGGAATCATTTAGATTGCCAGCAGAACTCATGGGGACTCCCAAACTCCCATTATCCCAAGGGGAGGCGTGCTTGATTGGCACAAAGCTGGATACCCCCGTCCCCTTGTATGTACTCAAAGGCAAGTTGTGGGGCAGGGGTCATGTGTTGGATTGTGTGAAAATGGGTATAGCCCTTGACAGCCCTGGGAGCCCCAGGTCACGGCTAAGCTACTTAAGGTGGAGGGGAGGGGAGTTGGGGAATCCCCTGGCTAATCAGAAGCCAAGGAATTTCTCAACAATGGTTTTCTCTCTTTCCAAATCTATCATCTTTTCCCTTTGGCTTGTTGTGCTGCTTTTATTATAGATTAAGTTCTTATCAATGCTATGGTATATTTCAGGCTTATTTTGTTCTATTGATCTGTTAATTCTCATACCTATTAGATTTTTTTAACTGTAGAAAATGATAAGTTTTAATACTTGGTGGTATTACTGTTTTTATGTCTTTTAATAATTGCCAAAGTGAATACATATACTTAGTTTACTCAAGTCAGATTGTACGGCAAGGCTTATTACAAAACTGTCTCTTAGCTTGTTTTTCTCTGCCCTCAAATCCTGCTCCTTAGAACTAGGCAAGAACTTTTTCAACTCTTTTAGCTGTATTGTCTGATATTAATATCTGTATTTGTAACTAATATATTTACGTGAATCTCTCTTGATTTTTCCAGTTCAAGACATCTAGTGAGTTTGTACTATGAAGAGAGAGATTTAGTTCTCTACATGAGACAACAAAGTATTACCTTAAATATACTGAGAGAATATGAAACCCAATGTAGCAGTTTGTTGGTTGACTTGTTTTTGGTATAGCCTGTCCTTCAGTAGCTTTCTGACAAAGGACTCATGAGAAGTAAATGTGTTGAGACCTTCTATTCTAAACACATGTTGATTTCTCCCCTCAAACTTTATGTGATAATTTGGGATGAGGAAAGTTAGATTGGATTTCATATTCTCTCAGTATATTTAAGGAGATACTCTATTGTCTCAGGTAGAGTTTGACAGACTTTTTCTGTAAGGGGCCGCATGGTAAATGTTGTAGGCCTTGTGGGCTATGCATTCTCTGTTGTACCTGCTACTCAGCTTTGCTGTTGTAGTAAACGGGCAGCCATAGGCAGTGTGTAAGCAGATGGACGTGGCTACGGTTCAATAAAAATTGACCAATAAACAGGCAGTAGCCAGGATATGGCTGTTGGGCCATAGTTTACCAACTACTATCCTGAGCTTCCAGTGTTGCTGTTCAGATGTTTTGAAGTATTGTTGTACAGGTTATTTAGTATAAAATGAAAAAGGAAAAACAAAAAGTAGGTAGAGGTTTTTCCATCTTCTGTTTTTGACCCTTTCCTCCTTCTTGGAAGCGTTTAGTATTTTTTCTCCTTTTCTTTTTTTTTTTTTTCTTTAGAGTTCATACCATTTTTATTCCTTACCGATATTTTAGTGGGGGTTGGAGAAGAAGAATTGGAGTTAAACCTATATTCAGTGGGCCATGTTTATCTGGAAATTTGTTATTTTTGTCTTTCCAAATAATTCATCATGTGTTTGTTTTTAGTTAAGCCTTACAGTTACATGTCGAGATTTGAGAAAAGTCCTATCAATACTTCAGTTAGCCTGAGTAACTGAGTAATAGAGGCCGCCCATATGCTATGCATCCAGTCATTGCTTTACATTTAGTTTTGGTTCTCTGAAATGCTTTGGCTAATAAAAAAAAAAAAAAAGAAGAATGCAAACTATATAGATGAAGTTTTATATACTACGGAAATCTTTTTAAGCCATAGAATTAAATATTTAATTTAATACACAAATATACTTTAGCTTACAGAGATTTCCTGGTGAGATTTTTTTGTTAGAAAATATATTTATTATTGATAGTGAAGTAAAGGTGTCAGTAGTCATGATAGAGGTTATATCAGCCAAAGTTGCCTTCATATTGATAAAAATACCTTATTCACTTATAATCATAAACATTATTCCAGTAAAAGAGGTACATTTTCTCTCCTTTTCGTCTTTTTGCCTGTGTGATCACCATAATAAGTTAAAATGAAATAGCTCTTACATAATAAAGGGAGAAGAGAAAGAGAGAGAAAGCCAACATGCTACATCCTAGGCAATTCCACCCAGCACTGCTGCCTCCAGTGGTGTCTCCTCTTCCCACTCCAATTAATTTAGCCTTCTACCCCATCCCACTTTGTTAGGGGGAAGGTTCACCAAATGATGGGGTTACTCAGAAGAGAAACATTTTATGGTCAGTGGAAGTTGAAGAGAAAGTACAAAAAGGTGGAGAGGGCTACCCTTCTCTTTTAATCATCGTAAGAGGGTTTACTAATACTGAAAAGTGTCCTTCAGTGACTGTTTCCTGATCTAGGTTTTGGCCCTTCAACTTGCTGCTGTTCAGAAAACCACACGTTTTCCCTGACATGAAGAAAAACATAATTTATTGAACATTATTATGACATTAATGACACAAATCAAACAAATCAGAAAAAGACTCCATAGCTTGACTTCTCTTATAAATGTTTATTTTAGGTTTCTTCCAATCCTGCCTGCTGCCTGTATTCACACATACAATTTTTCACATAATGTAATCAAATACATAACTTAATTTTTTTGATTTGCTCTTTTTTTTTTTTTTTTTTTTTTTTTGAGACAGTCTCTCACTCTGTTGCCCAGGCTGGAGTGCAGTGGCCTCCCAGGTTCAAGCGATTCTCCTGCCTCAGCCTCCTGATAGGGATTACAGGCACGCACCACCGTGCCTGGCTAAATTTTGTATTTTTAGTAGAGATGGGGTTTCACCATGTTGGCCAGGCTGGTCTTGAACTCCTGATCTCAGGTGATCCGCTTGCCTCGGCCTCCTAAATGGCTGGGATTACAGATGTGAGCCACAGCGCCTGGCCTGATTTACTTTTCATATTTTTCTATATTTCTACATAATCTTTATTGTCTTATAATGTTATAATGATATAGTGGTTTATGGATATAGTGAATTCATTCATCATATTGGCAGGCAATTATGTTTTCTCCTACTTATGAATAATATTACAGTGATGACATATTCAGATATACAACCTTTTCCTCCTATTTAGAGTATTTTCTCATGATTCATTTCCAGAAGTGTGATTGGGTCATTGTAGTAAAGTAGAAATTGTGTCACCTCTTGAAATGTATTTTTTTCTTTTAGTATACAGATGAAACCTTGTAACGTTTGTCATACCATTAAATATAATTATTTCTTTAAAATTAATTCTATAAAGTGGATTAGGTCAAGATTTTTGTTTTCTAAAAAGATCATACAAATATACATTCCCAGAGTATAAAATAATTTCTTTCGTCAAACCCTTGCCGACACTGGTTGTAATCATCATCATCGTCGTCATTATCACCAGGCTTGAGAGAGAGAGAGAGTGTGTGTGTGTGTTAGGGAAGGAAAATAATTTAGAGAAAGAATAGAAAGTCATGGAAAATCTCATAGGTAGGAGACAGAAGAGAGAACATTGTAAATAAGTTTAAAAAAGATAAGAAAATCAGGATAAAGTAGTATGGACTCTGAGGTGGGAGAGAATTTTAAGATTAGCAGGAAAGTAGTGTAGTTGGTACTTTTTAGTTATTAACAAAGCACTCACTTCTTACAGAGTCTCGAGCATTTCTACCCTGCTTTAAAACAAGTTGTTTTTGATATATTCCATTTTAGTCATAATGTATATTTGCTAGATTGTAAACACTCAATGAAAGAGTGTAATATACATATTATGGCTTTATTTTCACTTTTTAAATATCTTAGCCAGATTATTTCGGTATTTATAGTCTGTATTCACTATCTCTAATGTCGGTGCATACTTTGTATGCTGGTTATTTTATTGTATGGATAAACTCCTTTTTGGTGGAATTTTGTACTCCCAGCTGCTGCAGATAGGCAACCCCCCTGCCCCTGCCGCTCCCCTCCCCAAAGTACACTGTATTGTTTCTGATTGTCAGGACCTGAGGGCCAGGCCTTTTAGGAAGATTATATTTTATAGTCAGAAAGATTTATTTTATCCCTGCTATGTGTAACACACTGTAATTAGGTACAGTGGGGGAATGCAGAGTTAAGTAACATTTAAATTTTGTCTTTAAAAGGTGTTAGTCTGGAAGAGAGATAAGAAAGACATGGACATAAAAAGCTATAATGTGGGATAAATATAACTTCCAAAGGAGTTGTAAGTTGGCATGGAAGAATAGATTTTTATGCTCTATGGCTCACTGTTATTTGCCAATTGCTTAGAAATGATAGAAAACCAAATTGAAATACATAGGTTCAAATTTCAGATTTATGGCAAACAGTCTTCAAATACAATACAGACATTTCTTAAAAGTTACCGTAAAGGTTAAAAAAAATGATAGAAAACTATCAATATTACCTTTACTCATTTCTCTTTCTCCTGAATTTCACTTAACACCTGAAATGTGGTTCTTACATTATTGACGTGTTGTTAGTCTTGAAAACTAGATTGTAAGCTCTTTGAGGGTAAGTACTGTGTCTTACATTTTTTTTCCTCTCATCATAGGACATGCAGTGGGCACTAAAGGTTTATATTAAAGATTTATGTTACTAATTAGTTGTACTTGTTCCTTTATTTGAAATGTTTTAATTGTTTAACACTAAAATTCTGCATTCTCCCTTAGGTATTTTTGCACCTCTTTCAAAGATAAGTAAAGCAAAAGGTCGAAGGAAGAATATAACACACACTCCTTCTACAAAAGCTGCTGTACCTCTCATCAGGTCCCAGAAAATTGACGTAGCTCATGTGACGTCAAAAGTAAATACTGGTAGGTCAAACCAGAAAGTTAACCATCTGCTTCAGTGTTTTAATTTTATTTGTAGAATTCCTAATATTTAGATTGCTTCACTTTTTTTTGTTAGCCAACTCTGAAACCTGAATTTAATAAAACCTGCATCTTATGTGTTTTTAAACCTCAATTTTAATGACTTCAGTTCCTAACAAATGTATTTCAGATTTGTTCCTTCCTTTTTTCTCTTTACTGTCTCCATACCTTTATCACACATAATCTATCCTCAAGGCTAGATTTCATACTTTCATCAAATTTTTATGGAACAAAACTAGCTTTAGGCTCCTTGCCTATTGAAGGATGTTTAGTGACTTCTTTTTTACCAAAAAAAAGTCCTGACTCGGGAAACTAGCAGTTGCGGCTCTCTTTCTTTATTGATAGAGTCTCACACGGCTTCCATAGGTGAACTATGGAAGTTCTATGGAAGAACTATGGAAGAGTTCTATGGAAGAGAACGGTTTATCGTATCTCTTCCCCATCTTTTACGTACATTTTCTTACTCCTCCCTTCATACTTTGTCTCATGCTATTTATCTGTGTGCAGTAATTTGACTTCTGCCTTTTGAGGTCCTCACCATTTTTTTCGACTTCTTATTCATATCCTGTCTCTAGTTCACTTTAATCTCCTCATTCCCTAACTTTGTATGTGCTTTTTTTATCCATACCACCCAATTGTTATTTGTTATCTTGGGTTTTGTCCTCGGATTGCTTTATTTGTGCAAGTGTCCTATTCTCTCGGCAAAATTTTAAACTTTAACTGAACCATGAGAGTAAATTGTAGTGTTGTTTTCACTGTAGCAATGCACAAAACAGGTGCTCAATAAACACTTGGTAATTTGTAAATAGTTGAGGTAGAAAGCTCTCTACCAGGATGAAAGGAATTTGTCCAAGAATTAGGCTGGCCTTTATATTCTGTTCCACTGGGCTATTTGAATATCCCTGTGTCAATACTGCACTCCATAATAAGTAGTTTTTAAAAATAAATCTTGATGTCCAGTAGTGGAAAACCTCCTATCTCATTCTTGATCATTGTCTTGCTGATTTGGGGCTTTTATAAATCACCCTTCCGTATACATTTTACAATAAACTGTTAAGTTTCCTTTTAAAAATTCTGTTGAGGTTTTATCTGATGTTTTAGTTGAAGCTTAAATCAATGGGAAAGAACTGACATCTTTACAATAGTCAGTTTTTAAATTATGAGTTTAGAATATCTTTCTGTTTAATTAGGCCCTTTGAAAATATCCCAACAAAATTGTGTAATTTTTTTCTACAGGTATTTTATATCTGCCTTGTTAGGTCTATTGGTAGGTACTCCATACTTTTTGGTGGCATTATAAGTAGCATCCTTTTAACCTGAAGCCCAGAAGTATACGGTAAATATAGACAGAAAGCTCCAAGAGAAGCCCCCTCTATTTCTGGTCTGAGGAGCAGAAAAGGGGTCTCCTATTAGATAGAATGTGGATGAAATCACCTGTTATCTTTATTGCTTGCCTTTTCTTTCCCTTGTTTCCCATCCAGTCCCCAGGCAGTCCTACGTGGTATGGATGGGCAGCTGTGAATGGGCAGGCACCCGAAACCCCAAGGAAGGGAAATCCATGTCTCTGACCAGAGAAACTTTGGTCCAAGGACATAGATGGAATCCACATTGGTTTTTCTTCTGTTTTCTCACTGCTTGGCCCCAGAGGCACAATCAGTCTCAGGATTGTATGACAGAGCAAGGAAACGAAAGCTTAGACATTCTACTCAGAATACCGGGAAGGGATGCCCAGGAGCAGGAAGTGTCAGGGAAATCATAGAGAGGAGGGGACTCAAGAAAGAGGCCTCACAATTTTGGCTGTGAACTCCTAGGTCTTCTTGCAAGTGGTGTATGCATGGATCTGACCAAAGCCTTTGGTCTCCTTGGTAGACCACTGCTTGGGTCCCAGCCTGACTACTGGGCTGCACAGCACATGAGACAAATTCAAACAGCATTGCAGAGGCTGCGGAAGCGGAACCCACATCAGAACCACAGTGCACAGAGGGTGGTCAGGAACTTCTGCCCAGAGGCTACATGGGTTGACTGCCTGCTAAAATGAAACAGTCAACATCCTCCATAGGATTTAAACAAGACCTATTCCAGTGTCCATACATAATATTCAAAAGACACAAGATACAATTTAAAATTACCCAAAATATGAAAAAGTCAACACCTCTTACAAGGAAAAAGACAGTCCAAGCATAGCAGCTTTGAGATGACATGGACATTGCAATGAACACATAAAGATTTTAAGTAATGTAACCACACTCCAAGAATTAAGGGTGTAGCTGGGCATTGTGGTGCACACCTGTAGTCCCAGCTACTCTAGAGGCTGAGGCAGGAGGATCACTTGAGTCCAGGAGTTTAGGCTGCAATGGGCTATGATTGTGCCACTGCACTACAGCCTGGCTAACAGAACAAGACCCTGTTTCTGAACAAAAAAAAGAATCAAACGTGAACACTCTTGAAACAAATGAAAAGAAAGTTTCAGCCAAGAAATAGAAGATATGAAAAACAACCAAATGATACACCCAAGTGTATACACACACACACACACACACAAGAGTACAAGCAGAACTGTGGAAATCTCAGACTGGTGAATTGTATCACTGCCAACATCCTGGTTGACATATTATACTTATTATACCACAGTTTTGCAAAACATTACCTTTGGAGGAAACCTAGTCAAAATGTACAGGGAATCTCCTTGTATTATTTTTTATAAAAACTTTAAAGAAAATATTTTATAACTGAAAAATGTAATGAAAAATAAAAATTTACTCTTCAGGTTGCCTTCACAAAATGTCTCCTCTCCACCCTCTTCATTCAGTTTCTGCTGTTGGAGTTCAGGCTCTCATGCTTGGACTATGCTAATAATGTCTGACTGGTCCCTGCTTCCAGCCTCTCCCGCTGTGGTTTCGTTGCAGCCCTGCTGTCAGGAGAGTGTTATTTAACTAGACTCTGTTCATGCCAGTATTCCTTTTCAAAGCCCAGCAGAGGCTCCTTCTTTACAGAAGAGTTCTCAGTCCTTAGCTGGGCACTGGCATCCCTGTCTGAAGTGTTACTGTGACCTGTCTGTCTAGTCTTGCTTTTCCTACATTTCATAAGTACTCTGTTCCAGCCAAGCTACTCACTATTTTCTGTGTCTTAAGATTTTCTTTTTGTCCATCAAGAATGCCTGCCCTCAGTTCTTCCTGACCATACGGCTAGTATTCTCAGGAAGAAATCTGACCTGTCCCTTAGGACCCATCTCAGAATGTGATCATCTTGATGAGACATTAATTGATCTTTGTAGCCACTGTTACTGTCTCCTTCTCGTATGCTAGTGCTTATACCAAAACATGTCCTCATATGTCTGTGCAGTTGTTATCCAATATGTTTTCAGAAGTGAGTGAGATTTCGATAATGAGGGATGCATGTACTTTAAAAAATACATTTTATGTTTAATGTTAAAATTCTTGCTTAAAGTGTTTTATTTTTGTGTCCAAGGATTAATGACATCAAAAAAAGATAGTGCTTCTGAGTCAACACTTTCATTGCCTCCTGGTGAAGAACTTAAAACTGTGACAGAGAAAGATGGTAATATACCTTGTAACCTCTGTTTCTCAAAATTTAACTTTTGATGGAACTTTAAAATATGGTAGGAAAACAGTTTATATGGAGGTTAAGTTTTAAAGTTGGCAAGGGAAAAATTATAGTAAAAATTAAACTTGGAAATCACTGAAGCAGCTCATAGCAAGCTATATACATTATATTTTTTGTGTGTAAAGTACTGCATTATGATTCTTTTACTTAAATTAGATAACTACTGGACTAGATTTAAGAAAATAAACGGAAATTCCATAATATAGAGCACTCTACACAAATGTTTCATTTGCCTTTAGCTATCAAATCATTAGATGAATTGAGCATGAGTATTCCTTCTTGCCTTCTGGTTTAACTCAAAATGTCTTAATATTAAACTTTTGTTGCCTTAAAACATATTAATATCATGTTTAATTTTTGTATAAAAGGGGACTCTACTATGTCATCTAAGGTGAGAGGTGACTGATGGTCATTAGATTAGGTAGTCAGTTCACATCAATTGATGTGGTGATACCTCTTACATAAGATTGTGATCTTACCGTGGGAATCCTTAAAATATTATTGCTTGTGTTATAAAATCTTTTATATATAAACTACAATTGCTATTTGGATGAAATTAGGCATTTAATTTGACACTAGATAATCCATAATTGAGGAAGTTAAATGAAGAATTTCAGAAAGATTTGCCTTGACAAGCTGCTTCTTGGTCCACATCTTATTTTCCACCGTTTGACACGTTCTTTATCTGTTACAGTTGCCCTGCTTGGATCTGTCAGCAGCTGCTCCTCTACATCTTCTTTGGAACACAGACAGAGCTACCCCAAGAAACAGAATGCAATCAGCAGTAACAAGAAGACAATGAGCAAAAGCCCTTCCCTTTCATCCAGAGCCAGTGCTGGTATCTATGGCTTTTTCAACCAGGCTTTCTTGGTGTTTTTTATCTTGGTTTGTTTGTAAGTAGATTTGCTCTTTTTAAATGTGTAGAAGGAACCCTTTACTTCAATCAGATTGAACTACTTTTACTCTTCCCCACCTCCCCCGAACCTTAAGCCTTAAGGTCTCTTTGTTTTGCCGTCTCAGATATAAGACTTTGCATTTATTTTCATGTAATTCATTCTTAGTGGTTTTACCTCATCTGAATTTAGCTTCTTCACAGGCCTTTGTGTCATCTTCATATTTAAAAAGCATGCTTTCTGTGTTTTTATTCAAGTGATTGTTTTAAAACTATGTTTGCTTAAAACCTAGGAGAAGGTCAGAGGGTCCTCTCCCAGGATGGCAATACCAGCCAGTTTTGATATGGCTTTTTAACTAGCCGTGAACCTGCATAATCTCACTCAGTCCACATTTCTTCAGTTATTTGTAAAGATACGTAAAACACTTTATCAGACTTCTTTTCGAAATGACATAGATTTTGTCTGTTGCAGTTCACTTATTTGCCTATATAGCGAACTTGTCCAGAAAGGCAAAAGCCATCTTGGCAAAATACGTTCTTCATGAACCTCTTTATTACCAGATTCTTTTTTTAGTGCTTCTATTAATAGTTCTTGTAGTGAACCAACATTTTATTATGGAAAATATTCATGACAGATTTCTAAAAAAATACTTGATGGGAAGAAACCTCCAAAGCTCTCAACAATAACATTGACATAATAAGCCTAAAAACTGGGACCCTAAAAGTAGAGAACCTGAAAGTTTTCCCTGAAATTGTTTGCCTGGAATATTTATTCTCTGAGTGGCTTCCTCTCTCCATACCCCAACCAGTTTTTCTTTATGTTGTGAGGAGCAGAGGTGAGAAGGTACAGTGCTGACACAGCCATCCTGTTTGTCCAAATTTCATTCACATTTTAAGGCCCCCTTCATTTGGTATTTGCACTTTTGACATTTACTTGATTTTAAAATTTATACATGGGTATGGAATTACTTTTTTTTTTTTAACCTTCTAAACAAAGTAGTCTAGCGTGCCTATATATTTACCATTTAAAAAAATAAATTTGAGGGTTATGTCGACTTAAACAACAGTGAAGATGAAGAGAGTTATCAGAGTGAGAAAGAGGACCTTTCAAAGAGGGAGATGGGCCGAGAATGGGAGATATGGGAAAGTCTGTGTTGGGAACCCCAGAGACATGTACTTAAAACATGTTTCTCTAGTGAGTAGATATTCCACTTGTTTTATAGATTTGCATTTGAGGGAGATGTAGACTGCAGAGAACGAACAATAATGGAAAGTTAGGTTAAAAAATTAGAGAAAGAAGAGTGGAAATAAAGGATTCGGGGAATGGGAAAGGTAGGGACCTCGGCCTCATCATATCCCATTGTTATTTACTTTTTATTTTTTATTAAAGACAAGGTCTTGCTGTGTCGCCCAGGCTGGGGTGCAGTGTTGCAATCATAGTGACTGCAGCCTTCAACTCCTGGACCCAGGTGATCTTCCTACCTTGGCCTCCTAAAGTGCTGGGATTTACAGGCATGAGCCATCATGCCCAGCCTGTGTCCCACTGTTGAACTTGCCATCTTTGGTTCATTGTCTACAGGCGACAAGGGGACGGGCCTGAGGATTTCTGATCACAGAGTCTTGGTTTTAATCTAGGTGTACCACTTACTGGCTGTTAACAGTGTGTCTTAGTTAATTCCTGAGTTTGTATCTTATTTTTCAGCATAATTTTTAGGAAAAGCACTTTGTAAACTATGAAGTGCTATAGAATATTGGTTATGATGAGGGCCTCGGACTTACTGGTATAATCCAGACCTTCTCCATGGGTTTATTTTCCTTGTTTAGTTGCTGTGTTTTTGATTTCTTCTTTTTTCACAGTATGACTTACCCTCCATCCCATGCCCTCCTCCAGAGTTCTCTACTCCCTCTCAGATGGCAGCTCTTCAAATCTTTGTTTATGTACTGATGGGACAAGGCTCAAGCACCCACTTCTTCTCTTTCAGCTGTTATATTTGAACAGCTTTCTAGATCATATTTCTCTAGGACTTCTATGTTTAATAGTGGGCATTTCAAGGTTTAGTTTTGAATCAGGTTGACAGGGCAGTGGTTTTGTTCTTAATAACAAAATCACTTTAGGATAATTAGAACCGTATAGCAATTTAACCTTCAAATCACACTACTTTTGGCTGGTCACAGTGGCTCATGCCTGTTATCTTAGCACTTTGGGAAGCTGAGGTGGGAGGATCACTCAAGCCCAGGAGTTTGAGACCAGCTTGGTCAACACAGCAAGACCCTGTTTCTTTAAAAAAAAAAAAAAAAAAAAAAAAGTCAAATCACATGACTTTTTATATAATTTACACTGAGTCTAAGTGAACTATTAATACTATAATTCTAGTATTTTAGTAGAATAGAAATTGTCAAACTATGGCCCATGGGCCAAATCTGACCTACCACTTGTTTTTGTAAATAAAGTTCTTTGGAATGCAGCCATGCACATTTGAAAAAAATATATTGTCTATATCTACTTTCATGCTGCAACAGCAGAGTTCAATAGTTGTGGCAGAGGTGGTATGGCTAGCAAATCCTAACATATTTACTGTCCAGCAATTTGCAGAAACAGTTTGCTGTGACCCCTGTTCTAGTAGAGATGCTGCAGGCAATCTTGGAAGAGTTGGTAGTTTACCAGGGATCAGGTTTTGTGAATTTCCCATGGCAGTAATTTTCCCAGGAAACTCTTCACATTTCCTTTGAGCAGCTTGACCTCACATGTGAGAAACACAACTGTAGATGACTTATGTGATGAAAGGCATCAGATATCAAAATCACCAACTAACTAGACTAGTTAGAATACCTAGTGTGATTTTTTGGCTAATGTGCTTTTTGAGTTTTTCTCCCTTTGTTTTTTCTCCTCTTTTCCTGCCCTGCCCCTGTATCCCTCCCTGACTTAAACAGGTTTGAATTCCTCAGCAACATCTACAGCAAATAATAGCCGTTGCGAGGGGGAACTCCGCCTCGGAGAGAGAGTGTTAGTGGTAGGACAGAGACTGGGCACCATTAGGTTCTTTGGGACAACAAACTTCGCTCCAGGTAACTCATCTGCATATTTTCTTAACTTGAATTCTTTAGAGTACAAAAGGTTTAAAATTTTACATGTAAATAGAATTTAATTGTAGAGAAATCTTGATGAACAGTTTTTGTGGATGGCAGCTATAGTACAGAAAATGTGAAATGATGATGAAAACTCAGACTGTTTACTCACGTGGATGGTTACCCATACATTTTTTTCTTGCCATTTGTGTTTTAAATGGTCGGTGTTAAAAATTAGTTGTCATTCTCCAATTTTACTCTTACTGATTGCTGGGTGTGCTAAGTGACAGGCAAACATTTTAGGATTAGATTTTTGCTACGGATAATCTTTAAAATAAGTAGTAAATAATGAGTTAATTGTATACCTTTTTAAAAGAGTGGCTTGCAGAGAAAAGCACACAAAAGGGCTCAAAATACATGTTTTTGGGGCCCTTAAAAATACATGTTTGTGTATTTATATATTCATTCCAATCTATACGTAACATTGTTTCCAAAAGTAAAGATTACTTTCTATTTTTTTTTTTGAGACGGAGCTTCGCTCTTGTTGCCCAGGCTGGAGTGCAATGGCATGATCTCAGCTCACCGCAACCTCTGCCTCCTGGGTTCAAGCGGTTCTCCTGCCTCAGCCTCCCGAGTAGGTGGGATTACAGGCATGCGCCACCACGCCCCGCTAATTTTGTATTTTTAGTAGAGATGGTATTTCTCCATGTTGGCCAGGCTGGTCTCGAACTCCCAAACTCAGGTGATCTGCCCGCCTTGGCCTCCCAAAGTGCTGGGATTACAGGTGTGAGCCACCGTGCCCAGCCAGATTGCTTTCTTTTGTGTTGTCAATGATTATAATTTTAAACAGAAGTCGGTTGAACAAAACCAAGTTTGTATGTTTAGATAGCAATATGCTATTTTAACACATGGTGGCATTGCAGCATTTTAGGAAAAGGTTATCTAGAACATTGATTAAAAAAAAAAAAGTTTGTAGCATTTAGCCAAGAACTATGAGGGATCTGAGATTTTACCCTATTTGCAAGCTAACAAATTCGCCTGCCACAGTTTCATAGATGTTGGTGGAAGATACTGTGAGTACTAGAGTCATCACAGGTTTGAGACAAAGCACTCTAGTACTCACAGTCATAGCAGTAGCCAGAGTATCAGCATTTTCTTGAACTATTATTCCCTTAGTGCCAATTCCCACAGGGTGAGAGCGAGCGAGCCAGGTGTCACCTGCACAGCCAGTGTTTTTTGTTCCAGGAGAGGACCCTAGAGCTTAGGGAATCTGAATCTTTGAACTTATGGTACACATCCCTGCCATTTGCTCTGGTGGGAGATGCTAGCTCTATCCTCCAAGGCTGTCCCCTATACAGATGTTTATGAAAAGGTAGTCTAGAACGAAAGTAGTCACTGCCTCTACCCATAAGACATGCGGAAACATGACAGGACCATAGGCGACTGTCTCCCAACACAGTCTTGTTTCACTAATACCACTTATAATTGCAAGCCAACTGCGTGATTTGAGTTAGGTGTTTTATAATTCATGACTTTCTTAGGTCTCCAGGTAGTAATTGAGATTAGTTAGGATATACTTAATATAGGATTCAAATAAAAACTTAACCGCACAGGTAGGTTATTTTTTTACAATTACTATTTGTCTTTTGAGTTCCCTTTCTCTGATGTTATTAAACCAAGATAGAATGGTTTGATTCTTTGGATATAATTCTTCATTTTAGGTTGATTTCAGTTTTTAAATTCCTAATGTAAAGCATTTAGAAATTTGGGAAGTAGTAAGCAAATATAATAAAAAGTGGAAACTTTTTTGTTAAAAACATTCTGTCCTGTAAGGAAGTAGTAGCATTAAAAATTAATCACTGCTACAGAACAGTGGTAATATCTTAAGTATTTGGAGGTTATAAGATCTAGATTTGAGGGAGGTCATATTTGGTCTCATCAGCATTTTTTATCAGTGCCACCTTGGAAAGAAAATTAACATTTAAATGGGAAGATATCCATACCACACCACTGCCAAAGTGTAGTCTTTATTGTTAACACTTGTCATATGTATTTCTGCTGTATGCTACATGTTTCCAAGAGTTACATGGTTAACATTAGCAATTATATGGTAAATTAAAATGGGAAAATGCAAAAATTATATAGGAAAGCATAAAAGGCAGAAGCAAGTAAAACTTGGAAAATTGTAACTGTAGCACTGAGAAATAACAGTGGCAACCAGACTAACCTGGTTTAGGACATGTGGAAATGTGATGACCTATGTTCAGAGCGTTAGTGCAGCTTAACAATAGTTTTGTAACATTACTTGTATTACATAGTAGGAAATGGACTCAGGTATCATCTTTTTATACATAGAGGAAAAAAATTAAGAACTTGTGAGTTGGTTTTTTAGAAGGCATATAATTAACTCTTTGAACTAGTAATCTGGAAGAAACACTATTTTTGTAATTTGTAATAAGTTTCTTGATATCTATCTCCTGTTTTTTTACTTGATACTGATTATAAGAGACCAAATCCAATTACTACTGTACACTCCTTTTAAATCACAAGTAAATGGACTACTAGATACTTCTAATTGGTCTTGAGGCACCCTCAATTAGAAAATCCTTATTTTAGGATTTTGTGTCCATTTACCTTATATTGGGTAAAACCACATTTAAAGCAACCTTGCTACTTTAATTTTAGGCTGTCTAGAAAAGGAAATCCTGTTATTTCCTTCAGAGTAGGTCCTTTTAAATACAAAAAGTCTTTAAAATAATTCTCCCTATTAGCTAACCTAAACCTTTTCATTTAGGTAAAAAAAAAAAGATTTTTCTTTTTACCTTGGGTGGAAAAAAGAAAAGAAAAAGCACTCATCATGATGTCTAGTGGTATTTTCTATAATATTTTTGTCCTTCTTTAATTATTTGAGCACTGTTTGTGGTGTTCTAATGTTAGGTGAGTAAGATGAAAAGATTGCATGTTCATTTTATGATTTTTAAATCTCAATATTATGTTTCACTTCTTTCACTGAAACACTATATTACCAAGTCAAGAACAGTTTTTCACTGCAGCTTTTAGATATATTTTGGTCATATACTGTTTACACAATTGCCAATTCTTGCCAAATTTGTGTTTGTGCATTTTATTTTCCTCCTTTAATGTACTGCTCTGCAATTATGCTTGTAAAATGTTTTTCCTGTTCACTTTTTGAATTTTCAAAGTTTACAATTTTATAATTTGAAATCTTAATGAGTATCATGATCTTCCCTCATTTTGGTCATTTATGGAAATGTTAAAACACCTCGACTTTGGTTTTGTATAGTAGCATAAGAGTTTTGGATAAAGTACAGATGCTTTTGAAATGCAATATTCATGTTCTAGGATATTGGTATGGTATAGAGCTTGAAAAACCCCATGGCAAGAATGATGGTTCAGTTGGAGGTGTGCAGTATTTTAGCTGTTCTCCAAGATATGGAATATTTGCTCCCCCATCCAGGGTGCAAAGGTGAGAGAATGAAATTTATGTTTATTTACAGAAACTTTTTGTAATCTGCAGTGGTTAATAGAGACACTAATTTTATATTAAAGATATGCTCTGATTGTAGCTCATGTCTTCTTTCAAGGGGTTAACCAACCACCTTCTTCAGAGAGAAGGCTCATGGAAAGCTAAATTTGCTTTGCTGAGGATTTGCAATTTTAAAAACCTCCTTTATTCCTCATTTGCAAACCCTATGAGTATGTGTAGGCTATTAGAAGTGGCGTTTGCAGCTAAGTACAGTGAGAGCAGCAAGCTTAATCTGTCATGCAAACAAAAGTAAAAATGCTCTCTGATTGCTTCAGTCACATCCTAACTACATTAAATTTCCTGCCAGCAGGCACCCCATTCATTCTCCTACAAACCTAATGGAACCAAAATGGCTTTTTCCTCTGATTTCTTTAGTTTTCAAAAATAGATAGGCAGTAGATCTTTGGGGGAAGTGAAACTTCAAGGATTTTTATATAATATATCTCCTTGGTGTTTCTTCTTAAGATAGTATCTTTCATACCACCTCATCCGGTTTTAAAAAATAAGTTGAGCAGAAACAAAGTCCTCATAAAATTCCAGGTATCATTATGTGAAATGGCTTCTCTTATGCTCTGGAAGAAGCTGCTTGGTGTGCCTTTTAGCGGATGGGAAATGGGATACTAATCTTTAAATGAGAGATAACATATATGGCATAATCACATTCATGAGACTAGACCTACGATCGCAATCTGGGAGTCTTGTCTAGTTTTCCCTTACAACTAGACTGTTGTGACTATCTCCTGGCAGATTGAAGTTTTACATCCATTTCTCCCTCAATTTCTTTTTCTGAGTGAATCATTACATATTTGTTTAGTATTAATTTCCTTCTATGATATACTTGACATAATTTTCTTCATATTTATGGTGATAACAGAATTTAACATACAATACTTTGTAGTTTATAAAGTATTTTCACTTAAGTGTTGTTTCATTTGATCCTAATATTGATCAGGTAAGCTGGAGAATAATAACTATTACAAACATTTGTTGAGCATTTAGTGAGTGGGTGGGCTCTGTACAGTGTGCTTTAGATGCATACCTCATTAATTCCCCCAGACCCTGCGAGCTGTAAGTTATTAGGATCATTCCCATTTTGCAGATGAAGAAACGGGTTTCAAAGAGATAAGTGATTTAGCTAAAGTCATACAGCTAATTAGCCAAGGAGCTGGACTCAGCCCAGGTGTGTTACTTTGTAATTGTTTTTTCTGTAAGCCCTTGCTTTTAGATGGTTTGTTCTTTCTTTCTTTCTTTTTTTTTTGTATTTGTTTTATAAATGAAGAAAAGGAAGCAGTAACTACGAATAGTGCTTATACATGCTGGGGTCTGTTTGCAGGGCCCTTCATGTATTAACCTGTTTACTGCTCTCCAGTAACCCTGTGGTGCAGGCACCATGTTCCCTCAATGAGGAAAGTAAGTCACAAGGGGTGACATGTGCTGTGCTCCCAGCTGGGGATTTGAACCCAGGTAGTCTAGTATCAGCATGTGTGCCCTTAACCGTAACCCTATAACGGTTAGAAGAGCTTCAGGGACCTTCGTCAGGACATACATCTTGTAAATAATTGGTTTGGGAGTAAAATGCATGCTGAGTCACCAGTGAATCTTCTGTGTTCTCATGTTACTTTGGGCATATCTTCATCAAAACATTGCAGCAGTCTCTTACAAGTTTTGTTTGTTTCCTAGTCATGAGGACTGGGATTCTGCTTTTCATGTTTGATTACTCAGAGTACATAGTTTGGCATATTTTAGGCACGGTAAATATTGATCCAATCTGATTCCTAGTTCAGTGGTTTTATGCTGTAACAGCTTTTTCCTCCTCCTTTACGTTGTCAAGCCACTTTCTCATGGTTTCATCTTTTCCTTCTTGCTTTGTTTCTGGAGCACACGTTTTTTACTTTTTTTTGATTGCCTTCTATTTGGTTTTCTTTAAGGTGGTGCATTTAAAAAGCAGCCCCCTCTTCTTCAAAAAAAAAAAAATAGGGCTGTCTCTAAATGAACTGCTATCTCAATCCAGCTGTCTTCCTGTCATCTTCTGATTGTCTCATTCATCATCATCAAATACTATTAAGTGTCTTTTAGCACTTATGCTGTGCTAGGCATTCTATAAGCGAATAAAACAGACATGGTCCCTGATTTTGAGGCGTTTCTAATCTGAACCAGCTTTGGAACTCTTGAAAGATACCACTGATCTTCAAGATGGAAGAATTTTAAACTAGGGACTGCTTGAGGACAGTCTTAATAAGGTAGTGTCCAGTCACAATCACACCTTGCATCTTCTTCCTTCTCAGGACTATGGCTGGCCTTTCCCCCCACCCCTTTCTGTTTGTAAAATGTGCTTCCTATCCCAGAATCTTTGCACATGTTATTTTTTCTGCTTGGATGGCTTTCTACACCCGCCTACTATTGCCTAACTTTCACTTATTTAATACCTTTCTTCTGCTAATATATGAATCAGTCAAAACTTCTTTAGAGAAACTCTAGGAAAACTCACTGACTAGGTTAATCACATACACACACAGACACACACACACACACACACACACACACACACTGCTCAAGTAATCTTCATTAGCATAATATTCACTTTCTTAGTTCTTACTATTATTAGGCACTTACTACTAATGAACTGATTACTTCTAGAATTCACTCCCTCTCAACTGTCTGTTACTACTTCATTCAAATATCCATTCTCTTCATAAAATCATATTCTTTGTGTCCATCAGTCTCTCATTGCAGTATGTTGTATATCATGTAAAAATGATGCCTATGAATTGTAATGTGAAATTGCAAATATTTCAAGAGTTGAAGGATTTCTTGATGGTAATAAGATATGCTGGAGGAAGTGATTGACAAATGAAGGCTTTCCAGATTTAGGTCACTAAACAGTTGAAAGAAAATGAGCCTGTCAGGATTGACTTTTTAAAGATAAAGAATGATTTGAATATCAAAAAATGCAGGAAAATCCACTGGGAAAGTGACCTTTATAATTGTGGCTTAGAGTCAAGTATAAAGTAAAAGATGTTGAATTGTATTAGCCATATAGTTTTACCAGAAAAATCACTCACACAAACTCAGCCAATATCTTTTTCTTTCAGCTTAAGAATTAGTGCCTTTTTCACAATATTAATCTAACATTTGTTAAGTTTAATATAAAATAAACTTATTTTCATATTTTTTAGTTTCACCTTTGAAGATGAGGTTACAAAGAAATTCAGGTCCATATTTTAGGTGAATTCACTTGAATTTTTTTCTACACTAATTATCTTTAGATAGTGAGAACCTCTTCTATTTAATTATTGTTTTTCTTCCATGCCAGATGGAAGTTCATTCCTGGCTTAAAATGGACCCTCCATAAATATTTGTCTGATGAATGACTACAATTGGTGTGAAAAACTTAGTTGATAACCAGTCTTAAACCTGAAGACCAGCTACTTCTAACGAGATGTCCTTTGTTTTATTCATAGAGTAACAGATTCCCTGGATACCCTTTCAGAAATTTCTTCAAATAAACAGAACCATTCTTATCCTGGTAAGACTACACAGTTTTGTGTTCCTAATCAATATTTCTTTGCTTTCATTTATTGAAAAATTTTTATTATGAGGTATTGTATACAAAAGGGTCTATAAACTGTATTTGTATAGTTTTTGTAATAATAGAACAAACATCTGTTACCTGTCCCCTGGCTGAAGAAGATGATAACCTGACCTGTAGAAACCCCTGAGTACCCCATCCCATCTCATCTGCCTTGCTCTTCATATACCCCATCCTCAGGTGGAGGAGTCTTGAATTGTACATTAATTATTCCCTTGATTCTCTTTATTTTTGTCACCCATATATAGATATATCAATAAATAATATGTGTTCAGTTTTGTTTGTTTGCTATTTTGTTATTTAGCATTCCGTTGAAATATTCATTCCATAATTGATGGTTATTTGGGTTATATCCTGTGTCTTTTCTATTACAAACTATGTTCTTGTGCACACTTGAGGAAGTTTCTCTAGGATTCCCAGGTGTGGGATACCTGCGTCCTCCACCTTCCTAGGTAATGCCTGTCTGTCTGTATTGCATACTCTATCTGCCATGGACCAGAGCCTCTGCTTCTCCTCACCTCATTAGTACTTACCTTGTTTGATTTAGAAGTCTTTGCCTATCTGAAGGGCTTAAATGGTATTTCATTATGGTTTTAATTTGCATTTTCTGGATTACAAATGAGGATGAACCTGTTTTCATGCTTATGGGCCATATGCATTTCCTCTATTATGAAGTACCTGTTCAAGTTTCTTGCCCATTTTCAGAGGGTAGTTTATCTTTTATCTTATTAATTTGTAGGCTTCTTTGTGTATTTTGGGAACATTTTGTCAATTTCATGTGTGGCAAATATCTTGCCGAGGTCATTACTTGTCTTTTAATATTTTTATTTATTGTTTTTGGTGTCTTTAGACTGGCAGAGCTCCTTAATTTTTTGTAGTCAAAATAGCAAAACAGGTTATGGTTTGCCCTTTTTTTTTTTTTTTTTTTTTTTTTTTTTGAGACGAGTCTCTCTCTGTTGCCCAGGCTGGAGTGCAGTGGTGCGATCTTGGCTCACCGCAAGCTCCGCCTCCCAGGTTCACACCATTCTCCTGCCTCAGCCTCCCAAGTAGCTGGCACTACAAGCACCTGCCACCACGCCCGGCTAATTTTTTGTATTTTTAGTAGAGACGGGGTTTCATCGTGTTAGCCAGGATGGTCTCCATCTCCTGACCTCATGATCCGCCTGCCTTGGCCTCCCAAAGTGCTGGGATTACAGGTGTGAGCCACCACGCCCAGCCTGCACTTTTTGTTTTAAGAAATCTTTTCTTAAAATTGAAATTATGAAGATATTTTCTTATATTGTTTTCTAAAAGATTTATATTTTTGTGTTTCCCATGTGTCAGTTTACTCAGAATTGATTTTGTGTATGGTAAGTATCTAATTTCTTTTTTTTTTTTGCATGGATAACCATCTATGAAAAAATGATTTGTATGATACCAATCCTTAAATAATTGTTGAGATTAATTTTATGGCCCACCCTAATAGGTGTGTTGTTTTAATTTGAAATTCCCTAGTGTTTTAATTTGGAATTTTCTAAGGATGTTTGATGATGTATTAGTTGCTAGGGATGCTGTGACAAAGTACCACAGACTGGGTGGTTGAAACACAGAAATTTATTTTCTCACAATTTCGGAGGCTCTAGAAGTCTGAGATCAAGGTGTTGGCAGGTTTGGTTTATTCTAAGGCCTTTCTCTATGGCTTGTAGATGGCCTTCTATCTCTGGTGTTTTCATGCGGTCTTTTTCACTGTGTGTGTGTGTGTGTGTGTGTGTGTGTGTGTGTGTGTGTGTGTGTCCCACTCTCCTCATAAAGACACTAGTCATGTTGGATTAGAGCCTATCCATGTGACCTCATTTAACTTAATTACTTCCAATTACATATGACCTCATTTTACCATAATTATCTCCAAATATAGTCACATTCTGAAATGCCAGGAGGTTAGGACTTCAGCATATGAGTTTTTGGGGTGCAAAATTCAGCCTGTAACAGATGCTGACTGTCTTTTCATATATTTATTTGCCATCTCTTTTTTGTATTTTTTATTGACGTAGTTGTACATATTTTTGGGGTACATGTGATAATTTGATGCACGTATACAATGTGTAATCATTAAGTCAGGGTAATTGGGATATCTATCACCTCAAACATCGATCTTTTCTTTGTGTTGGGAATGTTATAATTCTTCTCTCCTAGCTATTTTTAAATATACTTAAATATACAATGTTGTTACCCGTAATTTTCCCCCTGTGCTATTGAATACTAGAACTTATCCCTTCTATTTAACTGCATGTTTGTGCCCATTAGCCAACCTCTCTTTATCCCCCTTCCCACCCACACACACCTCCCAGCCTTTGAGGCTAATCATTCTACTCTCTACCTTCACAAGATCCACTGTTTTAGCTCCTGCACATGAGTGAGAACGTGTGATATTTGTCTTTCTGTGCCTGGCGTATTTCACTTAACCTCCAGTTCCATCCATGTTGCTGCAAGTGACAGGATTTCCTTCTTTTTATGGTGGAATAATATTCCACTGTATTATGTATATATACTATATTTTCTTTCTCCATTCATCCATTGGTGGACACTTAGGTTGATTCTATATCTTGGCTGTTGGGAATCGTGCTTCAGTAAACATGAGAGTGCAGCTATCTCTTCAATGTACTGATTTCCTTTCTTTTGGATATATACCAGCAGTGGAATTGCTGGATTATATGATAGTTCTATTTTTAGTTTTTTGAAGAAACTCCATCCTGTTTTTCCATGATGGCTGTAACTACTGCCTATTCCCAACAGCATACAACAGTGTCCCAATAACAGTGTGCTGTATCTTCTTTGATGATGTGCCTGTTCACATCTTCTGCTCATTTTAAAATTCTGTTTGCTATTTTCTTGTTGTTCTTTGTATATTTTGAATACCAAACATGTATCAGACATGTGTTTTGCAACTATTTCCCCCAGTCTGTGACTTGTCTTTTCATTCTCTTAACAGTGTATTTCACAGAGCAGAAGCTTTTAGTTTTAATGAAGTCCGAGTTATCAGTTTTTTATTTTGTGAATTGTGCTTTGGTGTTTTATCTAAAAGTCATCATCAAACCCAAGATCACTCTGATTTTTGTCCTGTGTTATCTTCTAGGAGTTTTATAGTTTTGTGTCTTATAAGATCTATGATCCATTTTGAGTTAATTTTTGGGTAAGATGTGAGGGTCTGTGTCTAGATTTTTTTTTTTCACATGTGAATGTCCAGTTGTTCGAGTATTAGGTGTTGAAAAGACTGTCTTTTTTCCATTGAATTGCCTTTGCTCTTTTTTCAAAGATCAGTTGACTAATTTATATTGGGCTATTTCTGGGCTCTCCGTTCTGTTTCATTGATCTATTTGTCTCATCTTTTGCCAGTACCACACTGTCTTGATTACTGTAGCTTTATAGTAATTCTTCAGGTTGAGTAGTGTCAATCCTCTGGTTTTGATCTGCTTCTTCAATGTTGTGTTGGTTATTCTAGGCCTTTCACCTGTGTATATAAACTTCATAATCAGTTTGTCAATATCCATAAAATAACTTGCTGGGATTTTAATTGGGATTGCATTGACTATATAGATCAAGTTGGGAAGAACTGACATGTTAATATTTAGTCTTTTTACCTATAAACATGGACTATCTCTCCATTTATTTATATCTTCTTTGATTTCTTCCATCAGAGTTTTATAGTTTTCCTCATAGAGACTTTGTACATGTTTTGTTAGATTTATACCTATGTATTTAATTGTTTGGCATTAATGTAAGTGGTGTTGCTTTCATAATAATATATATTTTTTTACCTTATACCAACTTTCTTTTGGTTAAGTATTTGCCGAATATATCTTTTTCTGTCCATTGACTTGTAACCTTTCTATGTTCTTATGTTTTTAGAATATTTCTATATGGCATATAGTTAGGTTTTCCTTTTTTTTTTTTTTTGAGACGGAGTCTTGCTCTGTCGCCCAGGCTGGAGTGCAGTGGCACGATCTTGGCTCACTGCAAACTCCATCTCCCGGGTTCACGCCATCCTCCTGCCTCAGCCTCCCGAGTAGCTGGGACTACAGGCACCCACCACCACGCCCGGCTAATATTTTGTATTTTTAGTAGAGACGGGTTTTCACTATGTTAGCCAGGGTGGTCTTGATCTCCTGACCTTGTGATCTGCCCGCCTCGGCCTCCCAAAGTGCTGGGATTACAGGCGTGAGCCACCGCGCCTGGCCTAGGTTTTACTTTTTTAAAAAAATCTGACAATCTTTCTTTTAACCTGAGAGTCTTACTCATTTGCATTTATTGTAATTACTGATATACACTGATGATATTTTTGTTATTTTATTTGTTTTCTATTCACTTTTTTGTACTTAATAAGTGATTTTTATTTCTTGACTTTATTCTGGCTATATTCCCACCCTCTGTTTTTTTTTTTTTTTCATTCTGTTTACTGCCTCTACTTGTGTAGAAGTTATAGTCTATGAATATGCTTCTTAGTAATTACTGTAGATAATTTAACATTGATACTTGGCAAAATCTAAAGTTAATGATTTTTATCCTTTCTCAATAATAGAAAATCATTAGAAACTGAGTTGTCCAGTCTGTATTTTATTTCTCCTATAAATTTGATATTATTGTAATAGTTTTATATTGTAATGTTACTCTCATATTTCCCAGTGTCTTTACTCATTAACCCTCAGAATTTGTACTTGGGATCATTTTTAAAATTTCATGTATATAAAATTTCTTTTAGAAAGGGTCTGTTGGGTAACAAACTCTTTGTTTTTGTCTTTTCCAATGATAACTTTACTGGGTGTAGAATTTTAGGTTTAAAGATATTTTCCCCCTGCATATTGACAGTATCGTTGTGCTGTTTTTGGCTTCTGTCATTGTTGATGAGACGTCACCTGTGAGTCTAACTAATTCATATTATTGTTTCACTATCATGTCTAGGTAGAGATTTCTTTTTGTTTATCCTGTTTATCCTTTTTGTTTGGCATTACGGATTTTTCTGTATCTGGGAGTTGATCAATTCTTTACAATTCTTATTTATTATAATTAAAATAGTTTCTCCTTTATTATTTTTCTTAGCTCCTTCTGAAAGTCTGTTTAGTAGTATGTTGGACCTTCTCATTTTCTTTCCCATGCGCTCTCATATTTCTCACAACTTGTCACTCTAGACTATATTTTGGATATCTTTAGACCCATCATTCTGTTTCTTGATTCTCTCTTCAGCTATGTTTATTCTGCTGCTTAATCCGGCCATAAAGTTGTAAAATTATAAAAATTGTCTTTTTTTCTTTTTTCAAATCTGCTTGCAAGTTACCATTGCAATTCTTTCCCCATATTTTCAAATTTTTCTTTTATGTCTTTAAATATTTAAAGTATTATCTTTTATTTTGTGTTAAATAATTCAGTATCTAAAGCCTTTGTGAGTCTGATTCTGCCATCTGTTTCTGTTGAGACTAACTTATGGTTTGCCTTCTTTCCTTGTGAGATGCTTGTTTTGCTCAGAATTTTATATATAAAAATTCTTTGAGGCCTGGGTTGATGCTTCCAGAGAAGATTGTGTCTACCTGTGCCAGTTGCCTGGAGGCATTGCCAACCTGGGACTTTAATTTATAGTCTCTGCAACATATTTTTGTATTACAAGATAACATGAATTTCATTCATGGTAACAAATTCTGAGGGGAGAAAATTTTGTCTCCTACTGAGGATTAAGGTTGACATAAGTGACTTTCCTTTGTCTTCATCTGAACGGTGTTTCGTTTTGTTTCTCATTTCACCTTGCACTGAGAGTGAGCTGTTGGGGATCCTCGCTTTAACCAAGAATCTTTTGTGAGAATCTCCATTTGGAGGCCCTGGGCTTTATTTTCTTCCCTGTCTCCTGTGCAGCCAGTAAGGTGAAAGCCCAGGTTCTCTGGAATTCAGCGGAAAGCCTGCTGGTATAAGATGGTCAATTACTTTGGTGCTTGGAGGCCTCTGATGGTTTCCCTTTTTTGTTTTTAGCCACTTTGAAATTGTGCCTTTTGTGTCAGCTCGATAGTATTTTTTAAAAATTATAGTTTTAAACTAAAATTGTGTCAATCAAAAGATTCATTCAGCACGTCTGGTCTGCCATAACTGGCCAGGCTGGAAATCTTGTTTCTTTTTAATAACATCTTTTTAAAAATTTACCTCTTGTGAAGTGTTTTTATTTCTGTTGTATTATTTGGAGAGGCCAACAATCAAAAGCTCTGAAGTTAATTGTTCAATGTTTTATAAATGATTGTATCTTTTAAACCATTTTATCTTTTTCTTTTTTATATGATTATCAAGATTATCATATTTGACAGTAAAAATAATCAGCTTTATAAATGTGTAATTCAATTTTATTTGATTTTTAAGAAATCTTATAATGAAATTCTCCAAAAGTAATGTCATGCTCTTCACTTATTCATCTATGTGTATAGTTTGATCATGAAAGTAAAGATGAAAATTTGTTAAGAAATCTAAACTACCGTTATATTCTGTATACTTACCTTCTCTGCTTTCTTTTCTTTTTTTTTAATGAGATAGGATCTCACTCTATTGCCCAGGCTGGTCTTGAACTCCTAAGTTCAAGCAGTCTTCCCACTAGGCCTCCCAAAGTGCTGGGATTACAGGTGTGAGCCACCATGCCAGCCTGCTGTTTTGAAAGAAACATTTAATATAATAGAACATCTACAGAAGAAGTGATAAAATATCATTTTAAATAAGGACTGAAAGCTTATATTTTTCCTCTGCTAACCCCAACTTTCATATTTAGGTTTTAGGAGAAGTTTTAGCACAACTTCTGCTTCTTCCCAAAAGGAGATTAACAGAAGAAATGCTTTTTCCAAGTGAGTATTAAGAAGATTTAGAAAAACACCTTTCAAGATGAACATGATGGGATTCTGTGAAGAAAGAAAAGTGGAGTGCTGTATCTTTTGCATTGCTTGGTAGAGTTTTAACACGTAGGAGAAAAGGTGTGATAAGTGTATTGAGAAGCGTTCTTCCTCCCTCCTTTGCAAGCGCAATTAAAAATGTCACCAGTGACTAAAACTAGTGCACTGCATATATTTTATCTTCATAGAGGTCAGAACTGTTAATAAAAGTTAAAGGAATTTACATATTGTCTTTTCATTAAGTAGGGTGGATTGCTTTTAAACTCTCCTTAAGTAATGAGAGATTTGATTTAATATTGTCAGTGATACATGAAAGAAATGTAAGGCGTAATCTTGCAGTTATTTTGAAAAATGCTCCCAATTCCTCTTAAGAGTATAATGCTCAAAAAAGCCTTTTTTTTTGTTTTGTTGCAGAGAGAATGCCCTTTTCTCTTTTTCATTTTTGTTTATCTCCCTGAGACCCACTTCACTACCCCCCATTGGTTTTCTGAAGCATTTTCACTTTAGAGCAATATGAGGCTCTTCCAGACTGATTGGGTTTAGAGGTGCTGCCAGTTAATCTATGAATAATACCCTGGGGGAAAAGGCTTAGCTGCTTAGGGAAGTACACGTGCTTGTTTAAGTAATGGGACCCTAGGAGCCACGAGAAATTAGAGCCCAGAGGCTAGAACTTGATGTCCCACTGTGGATAGGCAGGTCATTTGTTTACCTTCTGGCATGAAGGTATTGGCAAGCTTCACAGAGATCTGAAATTTCATGGGAGAAACCTGGCTCATCCTGAGGACTGTTAGGTACTGTTGAGAGGGTTGGGTGGGGCTGTTTTTCTCCCTTCCTCAAAACCATCACCAATTTTGAGAATTTTGAAGGTCTTCTTGCTTGAGTAGCTGAAGGAGTTTAAGGGCAGTCAGTTTATGCTCCAGTTTATTGAAGATATTCAAGAGTTCTTAGGCAGAATGGAAGAAGCTGCTAAGAAGAAACACCCAGGACATAAAGGATTCTGAAGGGGGAGAGGTGTCCAAATCAGTGTCGAGATGTTGGTGAGTGGAAGAACATGATACAGAGAAGCAAGGGAAGGAGAAAACAATCTGAGCCCTGGGAATTATACAGCAGGTATGGTTATACACAAGACGCTCTGTAGACGTGAGGTGGAAATATCAGTACTTCCCTGTTTTCTCTAAAAATAAAAAAGCTTTAGTAATACTTATACAGGTTAACACTAGTCCCTTAAAAATATACTTTTATTGAGGATAGAGAATAAACTTTTTTCTTTTTTTAATTTTTTTATTTTTGAGACAGAGTCTTGCTCTGTCACCCAGGCTGGAGTGCAGTGGCGTGATCTCGGCTCACTGCAAGCTCCGCCTCCCGGGTTCACGCCATTCTTCTGTCTCAGCCTCCCAAGCAGCTGGGACTACAGGCGCCCGCCACCACACCCGGCTAATTTTTTGTATTTTTAGTAGAGACGGGATTTCACTGTGTTAGCCAGGATGGTCTCGATCTCCTGACATCATGATCTGCCCACCTTGGCCTCCCAAAGTGTTGGGATTACAGGCGTGAGCCACCGCACCCGGCTGAGAATAAACTTTTTAAATTATTAATTTATCTGTTTTTACTCATAAAGTGTGCAACCAAAATGGTGATCATTGTTCTCAGAAACAAAAGAAAGGGTTTCAGGTGCTGGCAGGCACTAGGACATTTGTCCCTGCTCTTAGGGGTGAGGGAGACAGGGCAGTGCTCGATGGCCTTCTGCCAAGGGGCCAGAGTTGATTGTGTGTTGTGCTGTTGTTAACCTGGAGACATGGTGTGTTCTGAGACACGTGTGTTGAGAAAGTATGTTTCTTGAGATTCATCAAACTCTGCTCCATGTCCTTGCTTGTTCGTATGGAAATAAATGATACTTTGAGAAGAAATGTGGATAATCTAGTCAGAGATGATGGACATTCTTGGGTAGAAACTTGAAGGCCTTGGAGGGCACGTTTGGCCCCTGTGAGTGAAAGCAAGCTGGGAGAGGAGAAGGAACAGATTTTTCTCGATCACGTATAGAAATGGTAGTGAGGAATGCGTTTCATCCCGAGGAAGACATGGCAGAAAGGGGGAGGGAAGCAGCTCTGTCTTCAGAACACTGTATGTCCAGTGCCAAGAATGAGCTTGAGATTTTACCATGGTCGTCAGAGGGACCTGATAGGCATGAGGCGTTGATTCTCCTTCACTCTGCGGATGTGTACATCCCGCCTGGGATCTGTCTCCTGTCCTGTTGTTACCAACTCACTTAACTCTTCTCCATGTTACCACCAGGGCCTGCTCAGAAATCCTCACTGGGTCCTGTCTGTAGAATCTGGCTCATTGGCATGGTTTGGTCAGCCCAAATTTGATTGTCTTTAGGCAAAACTGATACCATCCAGTTGGCCACAGGTCTGTCCTCTCACATCATGTGCTTGGGTTTGTTTTCTGCCTGTCCCTTAAAGCTTTCGAATTCTCAAACACAGAATGAAGTCCAGATTTATTGGCCTAGCATTCGAAGACCTACACGATTGGCTCTTGTGTTTCCCTGACTTTTTTTTCATGGCAATATCCTCACAGGTGATTGCAGTTCTCTAAACTGTATGCTTTTCAGGAGTATAAAAAGTAACAAACAGTTTGGCCAGGCACAGTGGCTCATGCCTATAATCTCAACACTTTGGGAGGCTGAGGTGGGAGGATCACTTGAGGTCAGGAGATCGAGATCATCTTGGCCAACATGGTGAAAGCCCCTGTCTGTTAAACTACAAAAAATTAGCCAGGTGTGGTGGCTTGCACCTGTAGTCCCAGCTACTCAGGAGGCTGAGGCAGGGGAATCACTTGAACCTGGGAGGCAGGGGTTTCATTGAGCCAAGATCATGCCACTGCACTCTATCCTGGCAACAGAGTAAGACTCCGTCTCAAAAAAAAAAAAAAAATACAAAAATTAGCTGGGCATGGTGGCAGGCACCTGTAATCCCAGCTACTTGCGATGCTGAGGCAGGAGGATCACTTGAACCTGGGGGGCAGAGGTTGCAGTGAGCCTAGATTGCTCCACTGCATTCCAGCCTGGGTGACAGCAAGACTCTGTTTCAAAAAAAAAAAGTAATATATATATTTTTCTCAGATGACGATCTCTGCGTTTCCTTTTCTGTGTGCCTATCTTTCAAGCTGGCAGAAATGTCATTTCCCCACTAATGTGTCTTTCTTGAGGCTTTAAGGGAGAAGAGACGTCTTCCTCTTAGCTGATTCTGTACTGTATACAGTCTTTATTGTAGTATTTATAACATTTTACTGATTATTATGTACAAATACCTAGAACATAGCCCCATGCCTGCCATTTCATAGGTGGCCAATAAATATTTTTGAATGAGTAAACAGAGCTCTCAAACATACCATAATTCTAAGTGTCTCAATTCTCTGGCTTTTGAGCTTTGACATACCTTGAATCAAATAAATCATTCTTATTAGAACGTTAAGTGTTTACCCAACCCATTAATTTTTGGTTTAGATGTTGAATCCATTATTTACTTGTTTCTTTAAAAGCTTTTTTGTTTATGAAAGTTGTACAATATTTGAAAAATGAAGAAAAACCAAATGCAAAAAGGTCATCTGTAATTTTGTTACCTAGATGAGATTATCACTGTTAGCATTTGGTATACACTTTTCCAATTGTTTTCCTAATGCATGTGTCTGAATTTTTTTTTTTTTTTGAGACAGAGTTTCGCTCTTGTTGCCCAAGCTGGAGTGCAATGGTGTGATCTTGGTCACTGCAACCTCTGCCTCCTGGGTTTAAGTGATTCTCCTGCCTCAGCCTCCTGAGTAGCCAGGATTACAGGCTCATACCACCATGCCTAGCTAATTTTTTGTATTTTTAGTAGAAACGGGGTTTCACCATGTTAGCCAGGCTGGTCTCGAATTCCTGACCTCAGGTGATCCACCTGCCTCAGCCTCCCAAAATTCAGGGATTACAGGTGTGCACCACTGTGCCTGGCCATGTGTCTGAATTTTTAAGCAAAGGGAGATGAATCATATTCCATATGCCCATTTCAAAGCTTTCCCCTGTATATCGTGCTCATATTCCCATATTGTTTAATAGCTTCCTTCAGCGTGACTTTTGCAATGTTTTTAAAGACTGTGCTGTGATACGAAAACATTTTTATGGCACAATAATAAATGAAAAAAATCAGAATTTAACTAGTAATAGATGCCAGACTTCTAAAACATGTATTGAACTCTCCTCTTCCTTACTCCCTTCCCAATACTTCCTATCTCTTTCTCTGCATATATGTGTGTGTGAGTGTGTTTTTCAATATTTATTTATTTATTTGACAGAGTCTTGCTCTGTCGCCCAGGCTGGAGAGCAGTGGCACTATCTCAGCTCACTGAAACCTCTGCCTCCCGAGTTCAAGCGATTATCATGCCTCAGCCTCTCGAGTAGCTGGGATTACAGGCACCTGCCACTGTGCCCTTCTAAGTTTTGTATTTTTTGTACAGCCAGGGTTTCACCATGCTGGCCAGGCTGGTCTGAAACTCCTGGCCTTAAGTGATCTGCCTGCCTCAGCCTCCCCAGGTGCTGGGATTATAGGCATGAGCCACTGCGCCCAGCCTCTTTTTTTCAGTTTATGCATTAAAGGTCTTTATTTGCAGTTTATTTTAATATAGAGGAGTGGTGAGAGTCATATCCTTTTTCTCAGCTAATTTTTACAGCACTCCTGATTCAATGTTCCCTCCTTTTTCACTGCTTTGAAGTTTTACTTTTTAATCACATGTAAAATAATTATGTCTATTTTTCATTTTTCTAGAATATGTTTTCTATGTCATTTAAAACTACATTCTTACGACAGAGCCACATTGTTTTAACTATTTTAACTTTATAATTTAACCTAATGGCGGCGTAAACCTTGCCTCATTATTTTTCAGCCTTTTCTTAATTGCCAGTACCCATTCTGTTTGTGAAGAGAGCCTGGCCTTTGTGCTTATACAGCCATGGATCTGAGCCTCATCTTTGCTCTTTTCATCTCTCTGACCTTAGGCACATAGCTTAGTTTTTCTGAACCTCAGATTCTTCTTCCATTATAAGGAGGTAATAATCCCATCTTCCCTGGTTTGGGTGAGATCGAAAGAGATAACGTATGTGAAGTGTTAGGTACCTAGTAAGTGTTCAGGAAATGATAGCTATTGTCATCATTCCTATGAAAATTACAGTAATTTTGTCAGGTTACAAAAAACATCCATTTGGGGAGAATTAACCTATATACATTTCTCTTTAGTAACAGAGCTCTTCCATGTATGTTCTTCAGTAAAGATGTATGCTTTTTCTTATAGGTATTACATGTTTCTTTATTAAATTTATTATTGTATTTGTGCATTTGACATGTAAATAATTTAAGACTATTTTCTAATTAGAATTCTATCACTTACTGGCAGATGTGGCTTAGAATAAATCTCTGAGCCTCAGTTTTCCTATCCATTAAAATTAGTCATCTTCCTTTCTTATAGAGTGGTTAATAGGAACAAATGAGACATTGTGTGTGACAGTGTATTAAAAATATAGAAAGTGAAATGAAATATGAAATAAGTAAGACCCAGATTCTGTTCACAACAAGATCCTGTGTAGTGTTAGTAACAAGTTCTGTGTTGAATATCCTGTGGGGTAGGGAGAGGGGTTTCTTTTGGAGGAGAGGTGGCATGGGATAGAGGATGGAAGGCACCAGGTAGTTTTGATGGTTTCTTTCTGGCCGTTTTAGAAGGTCTCAGCTCAGGGAGCGACAAGACCCTGGTCATGTTTCTATTGTGGGTGAATATCAGGGTCAAGCTACTTGCAGTGGACAGTGCAGGCAGCTCTGGGGCAATATAGCCTTGAGGCCTTGGATGAGTGCACTGGGGAGTCCCATGCCTCATTATCAGGTTGTGGTGGTGGTGAGTGCTAGGAGACGTTCTTGCACACTGTAAGGAATGTTATGTTGTAGGGAGAAGGAGAGGCAGCTGCTCAAGGCACCTCAGACCCTCGTTAGTGTTAGTGGCTGGGAGGGTGCTAAACCTTTAACCGTAACTGGAGTTCATACATAGAACATACATACATATGTGTATAGATATTTCCAAAGTTGTAGATTTACAGTTTTTAAAATTTGTTTGCATATGAAAAAATATTTTTTAAAGTGAACAAAAAATAATTTAAATTTACTACACTGTCAAAATACTAGATTCTTTTTGCTTTATTTGATAATATTGATAGCAATTAAAACAGCCAAAATACTAGATTCTTTTTGCGTTATTTGATAATACTGGTAGAAATTAATTAGGTATAAGTGTATTTTTTCTAATTGCTATTTTACTGAAAGCATATATATGTATGTGTGTGTGTGTGTGTGTGTACACATGTATATATATATATATGGCAAATGAAATCTTAAATCCAGAATGGGGTAGTCTTAAAATAGCGCAAAAGACAAAAACTTTTAAAATGTTAAACAGAAGTACAGTTGAACTTTGAGTAATGAGTGCAGGGGTTAGGAGTGCCATCCCCTGCTTGCCTGCAACAGTTGAAAATCAGTGTGTAACTTTGGACTCCCCCAAAACTTAACTACTGATAGCCTATTGTTGACTGGAAGCCTTACCTATAACATAAACAGCTGATTAATACATATTTTGTATGTTACATATAGTATGTACTGTATTTTTACTATAAAGAGAAAAAAATGTTAAAGTCATAGGGAAAATATATTTACTATTCCTGAAATAGAAGCGGATCATCATAAAGATCTTCTTCTTCATTGTCCTCACTTTGTGCAGGCTGAGGAGAAGGAGGAAGAGAAGGGGTTGGTCTTGTTGTCCCAGGTGGCGGAGGTGGAAGAAACTTCTGTGTATGCGTGGACCCACGTACTTCAAACCTGTGTAGTTCATGGGTCAACTGTATACTCTAAAACTGCTATTTAAAATTTAAAAATCAAGTTGTGACCATAAAGTATTCTCTTTTGGGAACTGAGTGAATGAATTCTGAATCTGGCAGTGGAAATGAATATGATGCATTGCATTACGTGGCTTCAGCACTAAATAATTTTTCCCACTTTTCCCTTCCGCACAGATCGAAAGCTGCTTTGCGTCGCAGTTGGAGCAGCACCCCCACCGCAGGTGGCATTGAAGGGAGCGTGAAGCTGCACGAGGGGTCTCAGGTCCTGCTCACGAGCTCCAATGAGATGGGTACTGTTAGGTATGTGGGCCCCACTGACTTTGCTTCAGGTATCTGGCTTGGACTTGAGCTCCGAAGCGCCAAGGGAAAAAATGATGGGTCAGTGGGTGACAAGCGCTATTTCACCTGTAAGCCGAACCATGGAGTCTTAGTTCGACCGAGCAGAGTGACCTATCGGGGAATTAATGGGTCAAAACTTGTGGATGAGAATTGTTAAGCTTCTAAAATATTAAATAAGCTCAAATATATATATTTGGTGTAAATAAAGAGTCCATGGTAAATGGTTTACTTTATTTAGCCATATTAAAATTTTGAAAATATAGTTATCTTCTTAAAAACCATTATAACAATTCAGAGAGAGTTCTTTACAAAGCCATGAATATGAACTATGGGGAATCATGGTTCTTTTAAAGCAATTTTCAAAATAAGTACCAATTAAAGCTTTAGGTTCCAAGAAGATTCTGGGACTCAGGAAGAAAAAGTGCCATCAGGTGACCAGCTGTTGCATTTCTTGCTTATTCTGTTTTGTTTTTGCACATCATAATGGATTTTTCTTAGTGCCCTAATTGTGAAGGGTTTCTCTAGCTTTGGTTATGTGTAATGTTCACGTGACCTTTTTTTGTCAATCATTTTTGGAATTTTTCTTTCTTTCTGTGCTTTATTACTAATAAGTCCAATGAGTGAGTAGTAGCTAGATGACTAGTATGTAGTTTTATATTTTGGTAAAATTATTTGCCCTTTCAGAAATGCCTCATCTAAAGATACATGATAATTTTGGAGTTGGAAGGGGCCTTAGAGGCTCTCCAGCTCTGCTTCTTGCCCATTGCCAAATACTGAAATGGAAGCCCGTCTTACCTGGGGTCACTAACTGGTTGGTTAACTGAGCTAAGAATAGACTGTGGGTCTCCTCACTTGTGGCCCAGTGCTCTTTCTGCTATACAAAATGTCTAATCTCAGATTTTTCTTCTGCTGCTTGACTGCTTCATCTGGATGAACTACAAAAAACCCATGATTAAGGTTTATGAATTCAAGTAATAATTAGATTTTTTTTGCACAGACTTACTTAACTTCCTTATTGGATATGTTTGTAACACATAAACACAAAGCACTTTTCAAACATGATGCACTTTTATCTTTGTGAATAATTTACTGTCCTTTCCTCCTGGGATATGAGAAACATTTTAAAAAACGTATTTAACAGAAGAGAGCAAATAAAGATATATCAGGAAGGATGTATTAGTTATTTACTTAAATGTTTATAATATCTGGATTTTTTTTGTTTTGTTACTCATAGAACTGGTGTTGTTTGCTGTTTTTATTTCTCTAATTGTTGCAGAGTTCTGCCTGTTACAAAGCTACAGAACTGTATTGTTTTTATTTTCCTTCTTGAGCACATGTTAACAAACTAAGCTTCACATTAGAGTGATGTCATAATGTAAAATGTTTGCATTGTGGTTAGGTATTGAAGTTTATGTCCTGTCTGTGTAAAGATTCATCTTTTATTGTAAATATTTAGACTTTACCACAGAAATATTGGAACAGTTTGCTTTATAAGATTAAAAAGCATCCTTCAGAATGGAGCTTGCCTTGTGCTTAGAAATAATATGTTGAACTATTTTGCAATATACTATTTTAAATCTAAATTCTGTCACTTCGCTGCCTTTTTAAAATAGTGTGGTATTTCAAATATTGCTAGAGCTATTTTCCTGAAATACATTTGCAAAATAAGGCTGCTTTGTAATCAAGGAATATTTTTATTGATTGAAGGAAATGACTGTACTGCGATTCAAAAGTAAACTTATTTTATTATACAGATTATTTCTTAAAAACTCTATTTATACCTTAACATGAAATCCATGACCACACCAAACTTGGTTATTCATAATTTTTCCTGTTAAATATAAAACACTGTAAGTTAAAAACAGTAATGCCAACATTGAATTTATTTTTGAGGTCAAAGAACCAGTTGTTCTCTTTATATTTAGATGAGGATGATTGAGTCCATATACTATGTATGTTTACATATACTATACATGCACATTAGGTGTTTTCATTTGTGTTTTGCTTATGAAATGTCATTTAAAGTTCACTTCTTGAGCATCAATAAAAAGGGAAGCTGTGTGGTTTTGGAATGGTATCTTGTCATTTACCCTATTTGCAACTCTGCTTTTCTCAGTAACTCAGGGTGCATATGCTTTGAACTTTTTCCTCACGGTAATGGCTTGGATTTGTCCTGTCCCTATAAAGAGTATTAAAAAGTATCATGCTTTCTACTCAACAGTCTATGTTCATAGCCACCATCCTATTAGTATTGTTTTGATGAATAGTGAGTCATTTAAGAAAAGAACGTATTTCTACAGTTGGGATTTCACTTGTTTATTTAGGGTAGGATGGAACACTTTGAATTTAGATTAAAAAATAGAAATAATTAGCTGCCTTTTACTAAAAAACTTTGTTTTTATATTTAGGGTGATTTGGGGGGAATATTTTTAAGTATGTAAGAATGTTGAGTACTGCTGTTTGCTAACTGTGAACTCTGGTGTTGTAATCTTGTTGTGAGTCTCTGGCACCTCCTCCCAAGAGCTCCTTGTTTCCCTCTCATGTTTTATTTTTCTCTTTAGCATTTGGTCATGCTTATTACTGATTACAACTTCTTGCTTATTATTTCTTTCTTCCTTCACGAGATTGAGGAGTGGATTTTTGACTGTTTTGTTCACCACTTTATCCCCAACACCTAGAATAATACTTGGTACCTAGTAGATGCTCGGTTTTGTTGAGTGAACAAAGGCAGTAAAGGCCATTGATTGTTGGAAATAGAGATAGTATCTAGCTAGCTTCACACAAGGGGCCTTGCAAGACTAGGCCACAGAACAGGTAAATTTTCTTAGACACGAAAGGAGGAAGGAGGACAAGAAAAGTTTGAATCCAGGAGCCCAACTTACCCCTGAAGAGTGCCGTGTAAGAGACAACAGATGCTGAGTGGCGCAGCAGTAGGGAATGGGGAGGAAAGACGCAGCAGGACCACCTGGGGCAGCTCCCTTTCCCTTCTGCCTGGGGCTAACTTTGAATTCCTATTTTAATATGATGATAATTTAGAGAATATGGTAATACATGTGGTCTAATATGGAGAGAATGAACTGGATCATACTCAAGTGGGGATAACGTTGATCTCCAGTATTAAATATATATCTCTATCTATCTATATATATATTTTTTGAGGCAGGGCCTCGCTCTGTCACCCAGGCTGTAATGCAGTGGCGGGATCTCGGCTTACTGCAACCTCCGCCTCCTGGGTTCAAGTGATTCTCCTGCCTCAGCCTCCCGAGTAGCTGGGATTACAGGCACCCACCACCATGCCCAGCTAATTTTTTGTATTTTTAGTAGAGATGAAGTTTCACCATGTTGGCCAGGCTAGTCACGAACTCCAGACCTCAGGTGATCCACCTGCCTTGGCCTCCCAAAGTGCTGAGATTACAGGTGTGATCCACCGTGCCTGGCTGTGTTAGATATTTTTATTTCAGAGTTTTATTTTGAGGCTCCCTTTTTAGAATGTGTGATAATATTATTTAAACCACATCAACCAATGGCTAGAAGCCTATTGTGTTAAAATCATTCTTAATTGAGAAATAGTTCTAGTAATTTTAACTACTTACCAGATGGATATTTGTTATCTAAGTAACAAATGACTAAATGACTCAGAGACATATAATATTCATAGCCACATTGCAAGCCAATAGAAGGATTAATTTATTTTTTTCATGCCCTTTCCTTCACTTATTTATAATACAAATACAGTGGTTAATACAAAACTCACGTTATCGTGTATATTTTTAGTAATTGTTTAGTATCCCTTGGTACACAGGCCTTATTTACAAACAATGTCACATATACTGTTTGATTATAAAATAAACATTCCTAATGAAATTTGTGTATGGGCTGAACAAGTTAAGCTTTCAGGACATGTTAATAGTGTATTATAAGCAGAATATGATGCCTTTGCATAGGCAAAAAGATTTTGTTCTACCATATTTTTTTTGCTAATTCTCCTTTTTATGAGAGGAAAAGTATACGTGGTGGAATTTGAGTAGACGAGCACATATTACTGACATTAATATCGTTTCATTATGTGTGGTCAAATGAAACTTTTTGTTTTATAGCTCTCCCTTGAGAGCAGCCTCAAGGTGTAAGAGAAGCTTTTTCCGTTTATCTTTTTAGAATGTCTTCCAGTGAATAGAATGTTCATGACAATAAATCAGCAGCAAATTTCATCATTTACTATACCTTTCAAATAGGGCAAGCGTAGTCGTCATGGTGGTGCTGAGAAGGGGCAGGGCATTCTGAATTATTAAAGATATTTCAGGTGTTTAAATTGAGGCTGTTAGCTGAAAACATAATCTGTTCCCAAGGATCACTGGTGTCATTTTTTAAATGCTCATAAATCTGGTTTAAATTCGGCTCTAAAATCTCACATGAACCCAGATATGTGAGTTTGTTGCTACCGTAACCCCAATAGACTCCTGTGTCAGGAGAAATTTGGTCTCAGGATTAGATATGTAGTCAGAGTTGTTTCAACTGGCTACATAAAATCCAACTGGGATCAGTTGAACTGAGCAAGCTAACTATCCTGTACTGAATTTGAATTTTAGGCATTTCTAAAGCATGGAAGGTTTAACCATCCAAGTGCTGTGTTCTTGGCCTGTGTCCATCTGGTGGAGGTTAAGTTCTTTCAGTTCCAGCCCTTCATGACTTTATTCCACGTAGACAGACTTACCTTATTGAAGACTGAACTAATTATTATTTTTCACCTAACAAATCAAATCAGACTGACATGGAGATGAATCAGGTTAAGATTATATGCACAGCTTCAAGCCATGCGTTTTGTTCTTTTCTCTAGTATGACTTCTGAGATTCAGCTTGAAACTCAGTCAACAGTGTTAATGACATTGGCTGCCCCTGACAGTTCTTGTCGTGAAGGGTGGGTGTTACTATCCAGTATCTTTGGGGGGAAAAACCCCTATAATGGATTTTTAAATGAATTTTAATAGTCATAAAAAGTCTTGTATTGATGGCAAGGGGAAGCGGATTTTGCATTACAGACAATATAGAGCATTACAGAGCAGAAGAATAAAGCGAAAAATTATAGTCACCTTTATTGAACCTGCTAATACAAATGGATTTCTAATAAGAATTCCAATACATTACATATATTAGTGAAAATACTGTAATTTTTCAGATGATATTTTCTCTTTCTTGAAGGGAATAGAGCTTAGGGAATTAAGAAATAGCATGAGATTCTTGAGGCCTCACTTTACACCCCCTGGTGTGTGACAAAAGAAAATCCAGTGTAATTTTCTGCTTTAGTTTCTTATCCTTTATAAAACATCACCAGCTGTTTCCTGGTACGTACTTGAGGAAAAAGAATTTCTATCTTGAAAATTACTTTATTTCTTCTGAGAACTGTGAAATACTATATAAATATTACTTTGAGAATAATGCAAAAAGATTTAAATTGTTTCTTTTCTCAACTATTAGATGCAGTAAAATATAGGAAATTTGCCCACAGTCGTCACAATCTTATCTTGGTGGATTGTTTGAATTGGCTATATTTTTGGATTCCCTGTTTCTAGGGATCCATTATAAAGCTATATGGTTCACAACAGATCTCCAAAAATTGCCATCCAATGGCAGTGGATAGCTCTATAAAACCTGAAGAGAGGGGTTCTATCCAATTCTATGGTGATTGTGAGAGAAGACTCCTGTTCCTCATGAATTGCCCATCATAATGGCACTTGGATGCGCTTGTTGAGGAGCGTCAGAATCCACAGGCATCTCCTGCTCTCAAACACCTGGCCTGCTTTAGGCTTTGCCACCTCACTTTGGGAATGGGCACCGATGTGGTTTGGCTGTGTCCCCACCCAAATCTCATCTTGAATTGTAGCTTCTATCATCCCCATGTGTCACGGGAGGGACCTGGTGGGAGGTAACTGAATCATGGGGGTAGGTTTTCCCATGGTGTTCTCATGATAGTGAGTAAGTCTCATGAGATCTGATAGTTTTATAAAGGGCAGTTCCCCTGCACACACACTCTTGCTTGCCGCCATGTAAGACATGCCTTTGCTCCTCCTTTGCCTTCCACCATGATTGTGAGGCCTCCCCAGCCATGTGGAACTGTGAGTTCATTAAACCTCTCTTTCTTTATAAATTACTCAGTCTCAGGTATGTCTTCATCAGCAGTGTGAGAACAGACTAATACAGGCACTAAGAGGTGCAAATTGTCAACTGACAAAAAGAAAGTGCATCAGATATACCATCAAATATTAGGTGTGATAAAAGATAAGTTTTATGGTTTTACTTTGCTAATAAGGTTCCCATTATAGCAAATGTAATGAAAGAGAAATAAGTGATGTGGCACTGAAAGCATGAAAGTCATTAAATGGACATGACTCATAGTTCTGCCGGCTTTGCTGCTTTCTGGAAATCATCCCTGATTAATCTCGTTTTGCTATGGTAAGGATTTGATGATTTGTTAAAGAGATCTTTGAATAGAAAGATCTTTGAATAAACAGGACTGATACTAAACTCTCTGGTCTACTTCTACATAAAGATTACATATGATTTGTCTCACTGGGATAAGAGTTAAGGTCAAGGACACATGCACACACCAGTGATGCTCCACTGATAATGACTGGGTGTTGGAATTTACCTTACACAGGTGAAGTCCTACAGAATCATGGACTTGACAGTTAGAAGGGGCCTTTGAGACCAAAGCCTTCTATATATATCTCTATGTATATAGAAGATGGAGTCTTGCACTGTCACCCAGGCTGGAGTGCAGTGGCGTGATCTCCACTTACTGCAACCTCCGCCTCCTGGGTTCAAGCGATTCTCCTGCCTCACCCTCCCGAGTAGCTGGGATTACAGGCACCTGCCACCATGCCTGGCTAATTTTTTGTATTTTTAGTACAGATGGGGTTTCACTATGTTGGCCAGGCTGGTCTTGAACTCCTGACCTCGTTTTTTAAATAAAATGAGAGTTTCAGTAACTTGCTTGAGTCAGGGAGGTAGTAATTGCAGTCTAGTAGTGGTAGGTCTCTTAACTCCTGCCTGGTCTGCTTGCTGTTTTCTCAAGTAATTGATGAATGCTAAACCATCCGAGATGATATAATCATCTGAAGTTTTATCAATTTGATATTCATCTATGTTAGCAAATACCTCTTCTAATATGTAAATATTGTAGGGAGAAATACTACCCTAGCTGCTAAGGTTTCAATGTGAGTTTGTTTAATAAGACTGTCTTTCACCTAACACCAGCTGAAATGAACATTGAGTGATGGAGGAAAAATAACTGTGGGTTAGTTCTCACAAGGAGGCAATAAGTCTTAGGAAATTGATGGGATGGGGAGAGAGCCCGAGGATGTCAAGAAGAGGGATATAAGAAATGGACATGTGAAGGCACTAAAGACTAATTTTGGTATTTGTGCTTTTTCTGAGGTTAGACTTGTAGTGCCATCTTTCCATGTCAAGGGTAACACACCTGTTTTACACTTACTGCATGCTGAAGAGAGGAAGGTGATTCCTGTAGTTTTGTGGTCATAGTTCATGTAACTTCCCGTCCCCCGCACCCCCCGTATAGTAGTTTGTTCTTACCAAGTTTTTCAAATGTTTTACAGTTGTTAGGCTACGGCTAAAAAATGTTTTGCACCTGAGTAGTGCATCAAAAATTAAACACCCCCATTCAGGACACCAAATGAAAGTAGAATCTTAATAGAAGCCTTACTATTTGCTCTCAGTAATGATCTTGTATTTTACAGCAGCATGTTTAGGATTACGGGAATGCTGGTTTTGCTTTTTCATGCAACAACACAGGAGCCATCTGCTGCAATGAAATTAGCAAAGTCAAATTGTGTGTTCTTTAGGGACTCATTTTAAAAACCATTAAAGACAGATTGACAACACACTTCATACAATTTTATGAATCTTGTCATGCGTAGCCTGTTATTTAGAGTAACCTGAATTCAAATGCATCTCCTTTTAGGTCTGTAAAACTCATACGGATTTTAATCCTGCTATTACTACTGAAAACCTATTAAAATGGCTTGATCATTAGAATTTCTTAGTGGTGTGCTATGGGAATTTGGATATAAAGGCCCATGTTTTACAGAATAAACTTTACTGTAGTTACATAATACCTTACAGCTATAGGGTTTACTAAGTACTATGTGGAGATGCCAAATTTTTTTTTTAAAGAATTACTGAAATTGTGGTAGAAACTTTATGTTCTTCTTTTGAGCTGAAAAGGAGTTGGGTTCTGGCAGGGTTCCTGCTACTGTCATTAGAGTTAGGAGGAGGAATAAGTGCTGGTGTTCAGTTGCACAGTCGGGTGACTATGGTTAACAATAGTGTATATTTCAAAATAGCTAGAATAGAGGATTTTGAATGTTCTTACCACAAAGAAATGATAACTATAGGAGGTGATGGATATGCTAAATGCCCTGATTTCATTTATATAATATATGCATGTATTGAAGTATCACATGATACCCCATAAATACACATGATTATTATATGTCAAAACAACAAAACCAAATGACAGATGAAGAAAACATGGCACAAATGGGAAGAGCCAAGAGGGCTGGATGTGAGTGGGGACAAGAACCACTGCTGAGCACGAGGGCAGGGAGGCATAGACATACCTGCCCCCACACCCAGCCCCACCTCACCTGGGGGCTGCCAAGGTGTAAGAGGGGGCGCCTGTGCTTTCACATAGTGCATGATCTCCCTGAGGAGCTGTGAGGAAGGGAGGTGATTGTCCTCCTTTTATGTCTGCAGACATTGAGGTACCAATGGGTCAGATAACTCAAGGGGAGTCAGAACTCAGACTCTAACTGGTGGAAAGAGAATCCAGCCTTTTAACTACTGAGTAGAGCATACTCTTTTTAAAAAGTTTATTCCTGCTAGTCTGAATTGCTATAATCCTGAGGTACAACATATTAACAAACTGGTCATTGCTCACAAATTGCCAGCTTCCCAGTGGAACAGTTGTGAACTTTCGATGGGCCTTATAGACATAGGATATAAATAATTATGCTAGATTACGGTTTAATTAGCATAGCTTCTGCAAACTTTAATTGTGCCCGTTCATATTCTGGGTGGAACTTTCTATCATGGTTAATAACTTTATTAAAATCCATAGCGTCTGTATGAATTGTAGCCATGTGCCTGGAGCAATATTCGAGTGGACCATAGTCCAGATTAATACCATGCTGATACCCATGGGTTACACCAAGTTAAATGAAACATCTTCAGGTCATCGCATCTCAGTGTGGAGTTGTTTATTTACTTATCCATGTATACAAGCTTTTAAGACTTGACTATTATTTACATGAAAGTTGATACCAATAAGGACGATTAGAGAGATCAACAAATCAATCTCAGTGGTAGAAAGGCACAACCTGAAAATGTAATGGATTTGTCGTTCTTAAAAGTGGAAAGAAGTAATATTTTCCCCATGAATAACAATAAAGAGATGGCTATTTAACCAGATAGCTTACTCCCAGCTTAATTGGTTACTGATGTTACAAATCTAAAATGGAGGTGTTTTTCTCAGTTATTGACAACTCCTCTGTCAGTATCCTTTAGGAAGAGTGTTTCTCAAAGTGATATTCTCGAGCCCCTTCAGATGGTCTGTGAGTTAAATAATGTGTATATGATTAGGCTACTTTTGTGCCTGGCATGAACCAGAATTTTACCGATACATTTATTTAGAGATGAGTTCATTGATGTTTCATCTTCATGCATCTCTGATGAAAATATTTTTGGCAGTTAAGCAGATAAGGAAGGTAGCCTCTAGCCATCAGTGCTTTTACAGTTGTACACTCTAACTCCAGGGAAAGGCAACTGCCTTCAGAGAAAGGAAGAGTTGTCTGGTGTTGGCTTTTAACATAATGGCTTTCCCACGCTGAAAGTGATGCTTTTGACGCAGGTGAAACTGAGAAGGTCAGAAAAAGGTATGTATATATATACTTTTTATAATATACACACACATAGTCCTTTTGTTTGGTAATGTTTAGTAACTAGCAAGTAATAAGAGAATTGCTTTCCTCTTGAATGCTTTGGTGTAGCTACCAACAGGAAAGAAAGTGGGCGTGAGGCTAGAGGAGAAGCAGAAAGAGGATGAAATGAGGACTTACTGATAAAGCATTCTAAGCATTACACACATAAGTATGTGTGTAAAATTAAACAGATTCCCAATGCGTTTTCATGGAAGTAAAATTCATCTGTGAAAACCAAGTTCAGAACTCCCACTCTAACATGTCAATGTCAACCTCAACTCTCCAAGGGTTCCACAATTCCTTTCCTCATCGCCTCCTAGGGAAAAAATTCTTTGTTTTAATCTGCCTTTGACAGCTATACAAATTATGCGATGTGTATTTCAGCACATTTATGTTCCCAGTGTACTTGGATCACATGAGGAAGGGAGAGAAAACGCAGGTTAACGGTGAAAGGAAAGAGACTGGATCAGTGCCTCTCCTTAGGACCACCAGCGGCCTGTTCCTCCCGGGGCCCTGTCCATCTCTACAGGTACAAACTTGAGTTTGGTAGTTCATTCCATGACTGAAACGAATAGAAGGTTTTGGCCTAAAATGTATTGACGCTTATGCCCACAAATGGATATGTTTCCATGCTTCCATGTATCACTGCTGCTTAAAATTTTTGCTTTTAAATGATCAAAATTTAATTAGTGGAAATTTTTTAAATAAGTAGTTTAAATCTTGAGTTTTAAATCCAGTAGGAAACCTCACACTCAGTTTTTCACTTCTAGTAGGAGGATTTTCTTAAGGCATGAGGTATATTTAATAGGATGTTTGAATCTCTGGATCTGTATTGGTGCTTTATCCTACTCAAAGCACTTGGAATGTATGCATTTCATTGAGATGAGTATATACACACTTCTGCTATACTACTGGAACTACTCACGACATTTTTTACAATTGGTGATGAATCAGCACAATTAAAAGCATCTAACCGTCACCTAAAGTGACATTTCAGTTGTCTATGATTTTTTCTTTTTCAAGTAAAGAATGTCTTTCCCCATGCTTAGTCATTACAAATAACTCCTTTATTTCCGTTCCCTCTCCCCTCAAATGGCTCATGTCCACATCAACAAGGCAAGGAAACATCTATGACCCCAACTATGAAACATAGAAGCAGCTAATTCTGACTACATTGAAGCAGAGCACACACAATTTGAAAGAAGCATAAGGAAGTATACAACAAACATGCATAAAAACCTTATGCAACCACATCTGGGCCTTGTATTTATCACTCATTTTTATGATATTTTCTTCTTTCGAAAGAATAGGATGAACCCATGCTCAAAACCTTTCTAAAGCATTTTCAAAATACAGCTTTTTTGGTGGTACTTCAAAATAGGTTGGCACAAAACAAAACGTGACATTTGGTCTCTGGTTTGTGAAGGAGCCATTGCCTCTCTCTCCTCCACGGTCTTAGGGATCCCAAGGAAGAGAAGTGAGTGTGCGACCGAGCTCAGGGCCCAGGCTGGTTCATGCTATTCTTGCTTTTCAGAATGGTATCCTCGTAATGACCAGCTCCAGGGGCAGTAGCGGCTTCTAAGGGCAAGCCCTGTTGCTGGTAGCCGTAATTGACATTCCCACAAGGGAAGTGACGTAGCCTGAACAGAGGTACCTCCTTCATATTGGCAGTCAGCGAAGAGGGCTCTAGGAGCAGTGAGGCCCCCGGAAGTCTCCCAGTTGCAACGTTAGGTGGGACAGTACAGCTTCCCTCCAGCCCCAGGTTACCCCTGTCGTGTGGCTCCTTCTTTGCTATAGGATTATTCTTTTTGGTGGGTTTCTCTGTAAACCAGGAGCCGTACGTTGGGTTCCACAAGCTGGTGGGCTTGTTTCTGGATCCGTGGACCTTGTGCAACTCCGAAGGAGGGTTGGACTGAGAGAATGCCATATTCACGTGTCCCCCTTCCACGGCCGGCCCTCTAGGGACTCGAACAGAGATCTCTGCAGCTGTGGGTTTCTTTGCAGCCTTGCCAGAGGAGGTGGTAGGCAGAGGTGGTGGGGCAGCTGGGCTGCGCTCCTCCTCCCGTTTTGCCTGTTGAGAGACCAGGAGAGGAGGAACCCCCTCAGGGTCCTTGGGCCTCACAGGCACTTTCTCTTCCTCTTCCACAAGTGGACCATATTCTATCGGCAAAGCGGTGTTGATTACATCCGGGTCCTGCCGTAGGGGAAATTATTAAAACTTTGAATCAGAGACAAAAAATGTTGGATCTAGAAGATACCTTAGAGATGATGTTATCTAAACATATTCTACAGATGAGGAAACCAGGATTTATTGAGAATATAGTAACTTACAGGCACTGGGGCATACAAAATGAATGGGAAGTCATCCTTATCCTCAAAGACCTTAGAGGATAAGCGCTATAATGGAAGTGTGTATGGGTGCCTGGGACAGAGTGGAGCAGGAAAAGCTTTGCAGAGGAGGAGACCTTTGGCCAGTTTTTAAAGATTAGTGGATTTAAAAAAAAAATTAAGATTATTATTTGTATTATTCCAGTCTAGTTCCACTAAAATCGTTCCAACTGGAAAAAATAAAAATAAAAGCCTATGTGTTTGACTTCAAGAGTGATGGTGGGGGGCTGGGGGGAGGAGGAGAGGAGACACATGCCATGTTGGCCTACAGGGTTTATTTTTTGATCTCTTCCCAGCTGCTTTCCATTTCCATTTGGGTACTTTACACTTGATTGTAAGTTTTCCTGTGCCACATCATCACATGTGCAGGTACCACAGTGCATGTTTTTGTGTTTGTTTTTTAGAGACAGTCTTGCTCAGTCGCCCAGGCTGGGGTGCCATGGCTCAATCTTGGCTCACTGCAACCTCTGCCTAGTGGGTTCAAGCCATTCTCGTGCCTCAGCCTCCTGAGTAGCTGGGATTACAGGCATGCACCCCACCCCCCCACCCCCCCACCCCCGCTAATTTTTGTGTTTTTAGTAGAGACAAGGTTTCATTCAACATGTTGGCCAGGCTGGTGTCGAACTCCTGACCTCAGGTGAGGCACCTGCCTCGGCCTCCCAGAGTGCTGGGATTACAGGCATTCTTTAACTAGTCTGGATGTGAGGGACCCTTTGCACAACCCAGGAAATGCTGAAGTGCTGTGAGGAAAACCATTTACAAAAACAACTGTGTGCTAGATCATTTTCACAGTAATAGACTGTAACATAGAAGAACAGAAGCAGCTGCCAGAAGTTTAGGGAAAATTTGTGGAAGAAAAATTAAATTTGGAGAAATTAATTAATATTTTATGCAAATTGAGAAAATACCCTCATTACCTGAGTAACAGAAAAACACGAGTGTTCGAGTTTAAAAAATAACTACCTCTGACTCATTAAAACATTCTTTAGTTCCCTCTGTGTTTTAGTAATTTCTATAGTGAATCAATCATTTTAAATATGCTTGTGTAAAACTGCCTTTTAAGAGGGATATTATAGACTATTGAGAAAAATACTCCTAAGAAGGTATATATGTTTAAGTGGGTGTATTCCATTCAGATTACAACAAAATAACCTAATGTCATTAAACAGAGTTCTCTGAAAGAACCTTCAATAACGTGATATAGGAAGTCTATAGATAAAAATGCCAGTTCACTCACGTGAGCTGAAAGGAATAAGAGGATGGAGTAGTGAGGCTGGAAAATGACTACAGTTTGAAAAATGTGTCTGTCTTTAGTCACAATGAAGAGGAGGGGATTTAAAGAAATAGTAGGTAGGCCAGGTGTGGCAGCACTTTGGGAGGCCGAGGCGGGTGGATCACTTGAGGTCAGGAGTTCGAGATCAGCCTGCCAAAATGGTGAAACACCATCTCTACTAAAATTACAAAAAAAATTAGCTGGATATGGTGGCACATGCCTGTAATCCTGGTCACTCAGGAGGCTGAGGGAGGAGAATCGCTTGAACCCGGGAGGTGGAGGCTGCAGTGAGCCAAGATGGCGCCACTGTGCTCCAGCCCGGGCAGTAGAGCGAGACTGCTCCCAAAATTAAATTAAATAAATAGTGGTTTATTGACTCTTCTAAAATATTCTCAGAATTAGATATCCTGGCAGAACGAGAACCAAGAGAGAGGGAAAGAAAGTGAATACAGGGAAGAGGAGAGCATCGGACAGAACAAAGCCCTGAGCAGGCGATTGGTGATACTGGCAGCAAGGCTGGCCTTGAAGGGGAGGAGAGACGGGAAGGCAGGTGGTGAGAAATGGCGGCAGAGGCAGAGAAGTTTGTATCAGAGACAGGGAGGAAATGAGGGCATTCTCTTATGATGATCTCCACCCTCTTGGTGAGGGAGGAAGCATAGCTGTCGGCTGAAAATGAGGGAGAGAAGCAAAAATTTCGAGTCGTTATTGAAGGAATGGGAGAGGGATCTGTAGAGGAACCCACAGGATTGCTAGAAGAATGTTTGACTTGGACAGACTCTTCAGGCCTTAACTCCTCATCTATAAGGTAGGGATATTTTACATTCCCCACTAAGGATAAAACGAAATACGCAAAAAGTGATTTGTGCAGTATGAATGATAGCAAGTATTATTGATGATGTTAAAATTTCTCCAGATTACTTTGAAATTTCATTCCCTTAATCCTCCTGACATATATAGTTGGACATATAATCTATCAATTTTATATGCAATTAATTACTTCACATGTTGTTATTTCTCCAGCCAGGCTCTAAACTATTTGAGAGCAGATGTGTTCCATACGTCTGTGAAGCTTCAATTTTGGCTACTAAAACATTAGGTCCCCAGTAGGGACTTGATAAATTCTCGTGGACTGGATTGATTCCCCAGTTTTTACTGTGTGTCTGGCACTGTGCTGTGTGCTGGTGAAGTTACTAATATTTATTTTACAAAATGGGCAAATGGAGACACCAGTCATTTCATTTTAGAGAAAATTAATTTTCACTATTTTGATCATAAATCTTGTACTCTGACTGGCTTGACCTATTTCATATTTCGGTATTTGCCATCTTTAAGACTGTTTCATATAGAGTAAATGTTGACCAAAGGGAGAAAATGTTTTACCTGGGTGCAGTATTCAATCCTCTCCAAAATGATGGCAAAGTTGGGCCTGTCTTCAGGCTGATGTTGCCAGCACTGAGTCATTATCCGGTATCTAAAAGAAGAAGCACATTAATTAAAATAAGGAGAAGCACAATGATGAAAAATATATTTTCTTCCAGCCCCAGGGTTGCAACGAATACGTTGAGGGTGCGAACTCGTCTAGGCCCCGTGTACTTGGCCTATGCTGCCCCCTGCTGATTGGTCAAGGAAGAGTGCGCAGGTGTAAAGGTATCTAACACAGACATCCTGATGTTTATGTTAACCACGGCTGCTGTCACTCCATTCCTGAGTTAAAGCCACTTTGGGGACAGAATATTCCAATTATATTTCCCATCCACGTTGCTTGTGGGAAGGAAGTGAGGGGTGCCAGGCAGGGCAGGAGACATTGCAGGGAATGGAAATCTTTAAAGTAGACACAGACATACGGTGTAGGGCAGCAGGGACTGGGCCTGGGACACACATTCCCAGCAGGAGCTTGGGGAATGTAGGCCTGGTGAGTCCACAGCCTGTAGCCAGACAATGGATACTTTTTCTGGGATGGCATCCTTGCTTTTGAGGGCCTGGGAGACGCATCCATCTCACTGAAGTCGCAGTCACATTCGCATCTTGGGGCATATTAAAGGGAGGGCAGCCATCTGCCCCTTCATCTTAAAGAAGCATATGTGGCTCTGGATATTTTTTGAAAAGAAAAACTGCTTAGTAACTAGCAGAAGTGTTCCTAAAAGAGTCATACACAGGCCCAGGGCAGTTCTTGGGTGGGTCCATCCGGCCTCCACTGGTGACAAACTCCAGAACTTCCTGGTTGCTTTTGCTGGGGTATGGCATATATCCAAGAGAAAAGATTTCCCATAGCAGCACTCCAAAGGACCTGGGCATGGGACAGAGGACATGGAGATGGATATAGACACACCCACCCACATTCACACACACACACAGGCACACAGACATACAATTTCAACCTTTTTTTCCCCCATTATACCCTTTTCCATAACATAGAACTCTTAAAATGTAGAAAAATTTAAAAAATAAGAAAATACTACACATGATGCTCCCTTAAAAGACAACCCCTGTTGATTTTTAAGTCGTTTCTGTGCTGAGATTTTTTTTCACTTATTTGCAGTTATATTCAATATGCAATTTTGAACCTTGACTTTTCTGCACATTTCATTATATCATAAACATTTTCCATGCCAGTCCATTTCATAAATAACATTTGGAATGGCTAATGGCTGTAAAACATTCCATTGAGTAGTTGGTTTGCCTTATCATTTCCACATTGTTTTCAGTTTTCAAAATATTTAAAATACTATAATGAACATCTTTGTGCATTTTTTAAAAGGAAGATTTCCTTAAGATAAAGTCTCTGAATTACTAGATTAGGATGTCCAGCCAGCTGATTTCATAGTCTCTTACAGTTCTCTGAGCTTCAGTTTCATCTATCAGATGCCCACTCATCAACTTCACTGGCCTATTTTAATAGGCAACTCAAATTTAACATGCCCAAATGGAACTCTTTCTGTACACACATCATCTCCTTTATTCTTTTCCAACTCATCAGCACCTCTGGTTATACATTTGCTCAAGCCCAAAACCTAGGAGTCATCCTTGATTCCATTCTCCCACACCCCTCCACTTCCCATCCAACAGTCAGCAGTCCTATAACTTTCAAGATAGATCTTGAATCCAGATAGGATAATCTAGTAATTCAGGGTAATTACTGAATTAAAATGTAGGCTAATTCTAGTAAAATAACTAGATCAAAAGACTATGAATATTGACAAATTCTTGGTGCATATTATTTGGTTTCCAAATGTGTTACTCTGTTCATCTACCAGCACCATGTAAAAGCGTGGTAGACACACTCACCAGCATTGAGTATTCTTAATAATAATGACAACTTTTGCTGATTTTAAGGGAAAAAATGGTAGAATATTTTAAATTATGTTTATTGACTTGATAATTCACATGGTTGGATGTTTTCCCAAGTGTTTATTAATTCATTTCACTTTTTTTTCCTATGAATTGCCCATTTTTATCTGCTGGGACAAATTGGTATCTATCAATCAATTTTCTTTTTGATTTGTAGGCACTCTTTATATGTCAGAGATGTTAACCTTTTATAAAAAATTCAAATACTTTTATTAGTTGTTTTCTTTTTTTTTTTTTATGTAGTCTCACTCTGTTACTCAGGCTGGAGTGCAGTGGTGCCATCTTGGCTCACTGCAACCTCCACCTTCCAGGTTCAAGTGATTCGCCTGCCTCAGCCTCCCAAGTAGCTGGGATTACAGGCGCCCACCACAACACCTGGCTAATTTTTGTATTTTTAGTAGAGACAGGGTTTCGTCATGTTGGCCAGGCTGGTCTTGAACTCCTGATCTCAGGTGATCCACCCACCTCGGCCTCCCAAAGTGCTGGGATTACAGATGTGAAACACCGCACCTGGCCTTAGTTGCTTTCTAATGCTACTTTTTAGCATACCAAAGAAAGATTTTTATTTTTAGATAGTCAAACCTATTTTTTTAATGTCATGATTTCCTTTATTTTATAGTTATACAATCTTCCCTTCACCAAAGATTAGATAAATATTTGCTATCTTCTTCTAGTTGTGTTTGTTTTTGCTCTCTTCTTAAATCTAGTTGGAATTTAATTTGGTGTCTAGTGTGAGGTAAGGACCTAAATTGATTTGCTTTTCAAATAACTACTCTTCCAACACTATGCATAAGATAATTTCCTCCTTACCCATTGACTCACGATTAAAAACAGGTCTGTTTCTGGCTATATTTTCACTTCATCTATTTGTCTGCTTCTTGCATTGATACCATTCTATTTTACTTTCTGTGTATTTGTCTTAAATCTGAAAAGGCATTTTTCTCTATTTCTCTTTAAAAAATATTTGATTTCTCATTTGTTTTTTTAAAAGCTTTATGAGATGAATTCTTCGTGTTCTAAAAGAATCACCTTTGATATTTTGATTAAAACTTTAAACCACTACCTAATGATCAGCTTTTTGACAAAGACTATCTTTTAGTGTGATTGTAGTTTTCTGAGGTTAGCAAATATTACCACAAAAATTGTAGAGAACAATAGTTCCTTCATCTTCTAAGAAACATGGGGTGCTTTTATTGTCATCATCTGTGTGAAATTTCAAAGACTCTTGTGAGAAGGATTGGGCAAAGATATTTTCCCTATTTTTCAGGTGAGAAGGTTGAAGCACAGGTTATTATACAACTAATCCGAGACAGACTGGAATACATTATTAGATCTCTTGATTTTGCTACTTACAAATTGCCTGGCACATATATTATTCCTTTCTGTTTGGAGATCTCTTGATTTTGCTACTTACAAATTGCCTGGCACATATATTATTCCTTTCTGTTTGGTGATCTTACTTCCCTTCAAGGCAAAACTAACTAGGCAAAATCAAATGAACAAGAAACTGGCAGTAAGGCCTAAAGAATTATAGCTATATGTTTTCTGTTTTTCTAGATAGATATAGGTTATAGCATCCTTTGAGAGCACTAATAGAACTGCACATGAATATTTATTTTCTTAGTTTAGAGTTCAAGGGAGCAAGAAGTAGTATTGGTCATAGAACTTTGACAATTTTGAATAAGTAGGATTTTCATATTTGCAAACAATACCAGATACCTAGTTAAATTTGAGTTCCAGATAAGCAACACATAGTTTTTTTAGTATATGTATGCTCCAATATTTATACTAAAAAACTATTTGCTGTGCATCTGAAATTCAATTTCACTGACCATTTTGTATTTTATCTAGAAACCCTACAGATGAGGCAAATCTATATTTTGTATGCCAGATGGTTCTTTCATCACCTATAAGCCTGCCCTAAACAGGAGCGACAAAAGCCCAAAGCTTTGCACCAGAGCATTTAAAATCAAATATACATACGTATATATGTATATATATACGTATATATATACGTATATATGTATATATATACGTATATATATGTATATACATGTATACATATATATGTGTGTATATACATATATACGTATATATATGTGTGTGTATATAGATACGTATATATATGTGTATATATATATTTTTAAACTTCACTTTCTTTTGGTATTAAACTTGCTCTGCCTGGAATGATTGATAGAAATAATAGCAAACATTATTGCTGATTAAACTGTTAAACATTTGAATCGATGAAGATAATCTGATAAAAGATTTTAAAATATCAAGCTGTTCTGTATCAGCCTTTAAAAGCTACATTTTTCTCCTTAATCATAACCTGAAAGGAGGTTATGATTAAAGAAAAAAAAAAACATTGTGGAAGATGGTCTCCA